>NC_000003.12:120978301-121281331 GCF_000001405.40 Homo sapiens
CCTTTGCTGATACCCTTTCTTCCAGTTGTTCGCATCAGCTCTTGAGGCTTCTGCATTCTTCACGTAGTTCTCAAGCCTTGGCTTTCAGCTCCATCAGCTCCTTTAAGCACTTCTCTGTATTGGTTATTCTAGTTATACATTTGTCTAAATTTTTTTCAAGGTTTTTAACTTCTTTGCCTTTGGTTTGAATTTCCTCCTGTAGCTCGGAGTAGTTTGATCGTCTGAAGCCTTCTTCTCTCAACTCGTCAAAGTCATTCTCCATCCAGGTTTGTTCTGTTGCTGGTGAGGAACTGCATTCCTTTGGAGGATGAGAGGCACTCTGCTTTTTAGAGTTTCCAGTTTTTCTGCTCTGATTTTTCCCCATCTTTGTGGTTTTATCTACTTTTGGTCTTTGATGATGGTGATGTACAGATGGGTTTTGGTGTGTATATCCTTTCTGTTTGTTAGTTTTCCTTCTAACAGATGGGACCCTCAGCTGCAGGTCTGTTGGAGTTTGCTAGAGGTCCACTCCAGACCCTGTTTGCCTCGGTATCAGCAGCGGTGGCTGCAGAACAGCAGATTTTCGTGAACCGCGAATGCTGCTGTCTGATCGTTCCTCTGGAAGTTTTGTCTCAGAGGAGTACCCAGCCGTGTGAGGTGTCAGTCTGCCCTTACTGGGGGGTGCCTCCCAGTTATGCTGCTTGGGGGTCAGGGGTCAGGGACCCACTTGAGGAGGCAGTCTGCCCGTTCTCAGATCTCCAGCTGCATGCTCGGAGAACCACTGCTCTCTTCAAAGCTGTCAGACAGGGACATTTAAGTCTGCAGAGGTTACTGCTGTCTTTTTGTTTGTCTGTGCCTTGCCACCAGAGGTGGAGCCTACAGAGGCAGGCAGGCCTCCTTGAGCTGTGGTGGGCTTCCCCCAGTTGGAGCTTCCCGGCTGCTTTGTTTACCTAAGCAAGCCTGGGCAATGGCAGGTGCCCCTCCCCCAGCCTCACTGCCGCCTTGCAGTTTGATCTCAGACTGCTGTGCTAGCAATCAGCAATACTCCGTGGGCATAGGACCCTCCGAGCCAGGTGTGGGATATAATCTTCTGGTGCACCGTTTTTTAAGCCTGTCGGAAAAGCGCAGTATTAGGGTGGGCGTGACCCAATTTTCCAGGTGCCGTCTGTCACCCCTTTCTTTGACTAGGAAAGGGAACTCCCTGACCCCTTGTGCTTCCCGAGTGAAGCAATGCCTCACCCTGCTTTGGCTCACGCACAGTGCACTGCACCCACTGTCCTGCACCCACTGTCTGGCACTCCCTAGTGAGATGAACCCGGTACCTCCGATGGAAATGCAGAAATCACCCATCTTCTGCGTCGCTCACACTGGGAGCTGTAGACTGGAGCTGTTCATATTTGGCCATCTTGACTGCCAGCTCCGATCCTTTGTATTTTTGTTTGGTCTCAGTTTCATTTAGTTCTGCTCTGATCTTTGTTGTTTCTTTTGTTCTGCTACCTTTGGCTTTGTTCTTGTTCTTGAGGTGTGACTGTAGATTGTCAGTTGGAGATCTTATTATCTTTTTAAGGTAGGCATTTAACACTATAAGCTTCCCTCTTAGCATTTCTTTTGCTGTATCCTGTATGTTTTAGTATGTTGTGTTTCTGTTTTCATTTGTTTCAAAAAAATTTAAATTCCTAGCCTAATTTCATTATTGATGCAACAATCTTTCAGGAGCAGGTTGTTCAATTTCCACATATTTGTATCTTTTTGATAGTTTCTGTTGGTGTTGATTTCCAGTTTTAATTCCACTGTAGTCTGAAAAAAATACTTGATTTCAATTTAAAAGTTTTATTGACACTTGTTTTGTGGCCTGACATATGGTATATTTTGGGGGATGTTTCATGTGCAGAACAGGAGAATATATATTGTGTGGTTGTTGGCTAGAATGTTTTGTAAATTTCTATCTGTTCTATTTAGTCTAGAGACCAATTTAAGTAAAGACTTTCTTTGTTGATTTTTCTGCCTCAATGATCTGTTTAATGCTGTCAGTGGGGTGTTGAAATCCCCCACTATTATTGTTTTGCTATTTATCTCTTAGTTCTGGTAGTGTTTGTTTTATGAATATGGGTGCTCTATGTATATAGAATTGTTATATTTTCTTGTTGAATTTATCACTTTATCACCATATAATGTCCTGCTTTTTTTTTTTTTAACTGTTGTTGATTTAAAATCTATTTTATCTGGTGTAAGTATAGCTATTCCTGCTCATTTTTGGTTTCCATTTGCATAAAATATCTGTTTCTACTTTTTGACTTTGAGTCTTTAAATATCTTTATGAGTTAGGTGGGTTTCTTATAAGAAGCTATCATTGGATCTTCTTTTTTAAAATTCATTCTGCCAATCTATATCTTTCAAGTTAGGCATTTAGTTCATTTACATTCAAGGTTAATATTCATATGTGAGGTTTTTGTCCCTGTCATAATGTTAATTGTTACTTAGATGGTTTGCAATCTTGGTTGTGTAATTGTTTTATAAGTTCTATAAGTTTTTTATATTCCTGTGTTTTTATGATGGCATTGCCCATTCATTTCCACGTTTTGAACTCCATTGAAAATTTCTTGTATAGCTGGTCTAGTAGTGATGAATTCCCTTAGCCGTTTCTTGTCTAGGAAATATTTTATTTTATTTTCATTAATGAAGCTTAATTTAGCAGGATACAAAATCCTTTGCTAGATTTTTTTTTTCTTCAAAGAGACTGAAAATAGGAACCCAGCATCTTCTTGTTTGTAAGGTTTCTGCTGAGAAGTCCACTGTCAGTCTGATGGTATTTCCTTCATAGCTGATTAGCCCCTTCTTTCTTTCCACTTTTAGGACTTTCTCTTTCATGTTAACTTTGGATCTTCTGATGAGTATATGCCATGGTGAAGTTTGTCTTGCAATGTATCTTCCAGGAGTTTTCTGACTTTCTTGTATGTGAATGTCAAATCTCTAGCAAAACCAGGGAAGTTTTCCTAAATTATTCCCTCAATTTTTTTAATACTTTTTACATCTTCTTCTGAAACAATGATAACTCATAGCTTAGTAAGTTTAAATAATCCCATGTTTCTCAAAGGCTCTGCTCATTTTTATTCTTTAATTTTTTTTGTCTAACTGGGTTAATTAAAAAGCTCTGTTTTCTAGCTCTGAAGTTGTTTTTGTTTGTTCTAGCCTATTATTAGGGCTTTGATCTCTATATTGTGGTTCCTTTAATGAATTTTTAGTTCTAGAAGTTCTTTTTTAAAAAATAATTATCCTTAGTAAGTTTTCGATTCATATTCTGAATTGTTTTTTCTGATTACTTTGTATTGGTTTTCAACTGTCTCTTGGATCTTATTGAGCTTTCATACCATCCATATTTTGAATTCTTTATCTTTGAATTTTCATTTTGAATAAGATCCATTGCTAGAAAGCTGATGTGATCCTTTGCAGGTGGTACAACACTTTGTTTTTTCATATTGCCAGTGTTCTTATGCTGGTTCCCTCTCATCTGAAGAAGCCATCACTTCTTATCTTTGAGTTTAGTTTTGTTTTGATGGGACATTGTTTTTCCTCCTTGAAGGTATGATTGTCCTGTATGTTGTGTATGATTGTTTGGCTTCAATTCTAGGTGCTTTCAGGTATCAAGGTACTGTATGAGTTCCTTGGTTATAGATAGCCTTTGTGCAGTGGCTTTCTTAAATGCCAGTTTTAGTAGTGATGTCCTGGGTATTTGAGCAGGCTAATTGCCTTCTGCAATAACAGGATTGTATTTGTCTCAGGAAGCTTATCTCATTCCTCAACACTGTGGACTTCCATTATCAGGTTTTGTATTGTGTTGTGCAGTTCAACCCCCAAGCTAGTAAGTAGGTAGCATCTATGTGTAAGAGTGGCTGTGGCAGAAGCAGATGGGTATGGGCTTGATCTTTGTTTACTGGGAGGTGCTCTCTGTTGTTTCAGGTGATGGGCCGGTCTGTAGAATGCCCAGTTTCCAGGAATTCCCTGCTGAGCTTCCATAGGTGGGGGGACAAAGCTGGGTGGAACTGGACATCCAAGCTCACCCATGAATACCCTATTGACAAGAGAAGACATCAGCACTGACATGAGTGGCAGGGAGAGCTCCTGGTGAAATGTACTGAGCTCTCTGAAGGAGGGGAGTTGGCTGCACCAGCTTCACATCCTAGGCAGGTGGGAATGCAATCCATTTCCCTGTTATACCCCTGTCCCAGGGCTCATGACTCTCAGTTTAGTCAGACATGGTTGTCTACCTCCAGGCCACAGTGTAACTGAGGGCTGCAGAAAATTCCTGTCCTATGGCTCTCTGTCGAAGTGGCTTTGGAGTAGAACCTCTTATCTCAGCTTTGTGGTGTTCCTGGCCTCCAATGCAGGAACACTGCTGCTTTGTATATAGAGGGGGAGTGGCTCCACTTTTTGGCATGTGCAAGTGCATGCCAGCTGTGATGTTGTCAGCTGGTTGGGTTGGCCTGACTTAGACCCTGGACTGATCAGGTGCCAGTTGTGGTGGACTGGGCTAGGCAGTCCCCCAATTTCCAGGCCCCTAGATGGCCCCTTGGATGGTATGCATGAGTCCTGGTTGGACTGGACTGCTGGATTTGTCCTCAGGTCCCTAGGGTTCAGGTGCTGCCTGTGATAGGGAGGAGTGGGCTGGTCCCCAGTCCTGCAGCAGAATGCTCAGGCAGGGTGGCTGTGCTGTGGACCTGCCACCAAGGGAGGCTGGACCTTTCTCTGCCTTGAGCAGTGGAGGCAGGCAGCTGTGATACACATGTTTTGCTCACACTTCCATCTGACAGCAGTGGTAGTGGTATCTGTCCTTGAGGCATATGAAAGTGCCTGACCTGCCTGCTTCTTTCTGGCCTGAGGGTGGCAGAGGCAGCAGGGATGGCAGGAGTCTAAGGGCAGAACACAGGCGTCTGGGGTCTGGCCTCTCAGAGTGGTGCTGGCTTCAGTGGAGATGCTCAGATGGGGGCAGGGTGGCAGCACTGTGGGTCTGCCATGGCATATGTATATCGGGGCAGGCGTCTCTCAGTGGGATCAGCAAAGTCAAGCAGTTATGGGGTGCTCAGTTTGCTCACTTCTCTGTCCCACAGCAGTGGTGGTGGTATCTGTTTTTGGGGCCTTGTGAAGGTGTTTGAGTGCCCTGCTTTCTCTCTGGCCTTGTGGCTGGGGCAGTGATACTGATGGCAGACCCAGGGTAACACACAGGCCTCTGGGGGTTGGGCTCTCAGACTGGGACTAGGCTACAGCTGCTCAGGGCTCAAAAGCCTGTGGGACTTCACATGAGTTCGAAAATGCCTTTGTGTAATTTCTAGGCAGTTCCCTTTTATCCTGGAGGCCTGGGAGGACTGAGGGACTCTTCTACAGATAGAATTGAAAAAATCTATTATAGGAGTGTGGAGCCCTAGGGGTCTCTCACTCACCTTTTCCCCACATCAGGGAGCTTCTATCAGTTTCACACCTATCCCAGCCCAGTAGGCTGCTTGGATTCATTCTTATTTGCTTTCTGTGATTCTTGTCACTTCTCTGTTGAATTCCAGTGTTCTCTCTTAGACAATCCATTCAAAGTGTGTATATTTACTTGATATTTTGATTTTTCTTAATGGAAGAGGCACCTACTAGCTGCATCTGGCCAGCCATTTTGAACCCTCCTTCCAGTCAGTCTCTTAACTGTGGCATCCCTGGTGATCAGAGTGCAGAGTAGCTGCTGAGTTTCACACGTCAGTTGCTGTGATCAGCATCCTGCTCTTTGTTCCTAGTTCACCCCGGATGATTCAGCCACTCCACTCTCAGTGGTTCCCATGGGATGGGACTGGAGTAGGCTTCCTGTTAAGACTCTTCTCTTAGACTCATGAAGAGGTTAAAGATTCACCTCCAGTTCTCCTCTTTCAGCTCAGAAATCACAGGTCTAGAGTCTCTGTGAGTGACATTATGCCAGCTTGGGGGATAGGCTGATGGAGCCTAAAATGACTTTTTCTTTTACCAGTAATGGCTTCTCTTGATTTTATGGACGCAGATATTTTCTCCACTTCTCCTCCAAACCCAGAGTTCTGGTGAACTCAGGATAGTATTCTCATTTTTGAATAGTTTCTTGAATTTTTGTGTTGGGAAGTGATGCCAGGGCATCTACTATTCTGCTATCTTGCTGATACCCTGAGATCTCCTGCATGCTGACTTTGTGTCCTACTATTTTGCTCAATTCATTTATTAGTTCTAACGGGATTTTTTTTTTGGTGGGGGGAATCTTTAGGGTTTTACATATGTAAGATCATATTATCTGCAAACAGAGATTACTTACTTCGTTCTTTCCAACTTGGATGCCTTTCATTTCTTTCTTTCCTTTTTTTTTTTTTTTTTTTTTTGCCTAATTGCTCTGGCTAGAACTTCTAGTAAGTACCATGTTGAATAGAAGTGGTGAAAGTAGGCATCCTTTTCTTATTGTTGATTTTAAAAGAAGAGTTTTCAGTCTTTCACCACTGAGTATGATGTATGATGTATGCTGTGGGTTATTCACATATAGCCTTTATCGTGTTGAGTTAGTTTCCTTTTCTTCCTTATTTGTTGAGAGTTTTTATTATAAAATGGTGTTGAATTTTGTCAAATGCTTTTTCTACATCAATTGAGATGTTGTGTGTTTTTTCCCATTCAGTCTCTTATTAGATATTACATTGATCAATATTCATATGTTGAACAATTCTTGCATCTCAGGAATAAATCCCACTTGGTCATGGTGTATAATTCTTTTAATATGCTGCTGTATTTGGTTTGCTAGTATTTTTCTGATAATTTCATGCCAGTGTTCATAAGGGATATTGTTTTGTAGCTTTTTTTTTCTAGTAGTGTATTTGTGTGACTTTGTTGTTAGGGTACTGTTGGCCTTACAGAATGAGTTAGGAAGTACTCCCTCATTTTCAGTATTTTGGAAAAGTTTGAGAAGGATTGGTTTTAATCCTTCTTTAAATGTTTGTTATAATTCCTCTGCGAAGCCATGGGGGCTTTTCTTTGTCAGGAGATGTCTTTTGTATATAGTTATGGGTTACAATATGATATTTTGATGTATGTATACATGGCAAAATGATTACATCAAGCTACTTAACATATCCAGCACCTGAAATATGTATCTTTTTTGTAGTGAGAGCATTTAAAATGTGCTGTCTTAGCAATTTTCAAGTATACAGTATACTATTATCAACTATAGTCACCATGCTGTGTAATAGATCTCTAAAACTAATTCTCCTAAATGAAACTTTGCATTTTTTCACCAACATCAGAGATGAGATTTTTTTGACAACTGAGTCAATTTCTTTATTGTTGTAGGTCTATTCAGATTTTCTGTTTCTCTGTGGTTAGTGTTGGTAGATTTTGTGTTTCTAGGAATTTGTCCATTTCTTCTAGATTCTTCAGTTGGTTGATGTGTAATTGTTATAGGATTGCCTTATCATCCTTTTTATTTCTGTATAATGAGTAGTAATATTCCATTTTTCATTTCTGACTTTAGTAATTTGAGTCTTCTCTTTTTTTTCTTCGTTCATCTAGCTAAAGGTTTGTGAATTTTGTTCATCTTTCCAAAGAACCAACTTTTGGTTTCACTGATTTTTTCTATTGTTTCTCTATTTTTAATTTGTCTCTGCTCTAATCTTTATTATACCCTTTGTTCTGATGGCTGTGTGTTTATTTTGTTGTTCTTTTTCTAGTTCCTTATGTTATAAAGTTATTTGTTTGAGACTTTTTTAAAAAGTAAACTAAAAATTTTGGCCTTAGCACTGTTTTTGCTGCATCCCACGAGTTTTGGTATGTTTTCATTTTCATTTGTATTTAAGTATTTTCTATTTCCCTTCATATTTCTTCTTTGATCAATTGGTTGTTTAACAGTGTATTGTTTAATTTCTTCAAATTTGTGACTATTGCAGTTTTACATCTGTTGATTTCTAACTTCATCCCATTGTGGCTGGAGAAGATCCTTTGTATGTTCTGTATTTTTGAAATCTAGTGAGACTTAATTATTGGCCTAACGTATGATCTGTCCTGAAAAATGTGCACTTGATTAGAATGTATATGCTATGGTTTGGTCGAGTGTTCTGTATATGTCTGTTAGATTAGTTGATTTATTGTGTTAAATTCTCTCTTTATATTCTATCTGGTTGTTTTATTTAATATTGTGAGTTTGACATTGAAGTATGCAACTACTATCATAGAACTGTCTACTTCCTTCAATTTTGTCAGTTTTTGCTTATATTTTGATGGTCTGTCATTAGATAAGTAAATATTGTTGTATTGAAACATTTTGTTAATATGTAATTACTTTCTTTGTCTCTTGTAACCTTTTTACATTTAAAGTACATTTTGTCTAATATTAGTATAGACACACCTGTTCTGATAACATGTTGAAAAAACTAAAGGAAGATATGGAGAAAGTCAAGAAAATGATGTATAAGCAAAATGGAAATATTGATAAAGAAATAGCAAACAAAAAAATAGAAATTTGAGAGCTGAAAATTACAATACTTTAAATAAAAAAATTACCAGAACAATTCAAAGACAGATTTAAGCAGACAGAAGAATCAGCAAACTTGAAGATAGCGCAATGAAAATTATTGAGTCTAAAGAACGAGAAAAGGTGGAACATAAGTGAATGGAACAGAAGGGACCTGTGGGACACCATCAAGTGGACCAACATGTGTATAGTGGGAATCCCAGAAAGAAAAAAGAAAGTTATAGAGAGAATATTTGAAGAAATAATGACCAAAGCTTTCCGAATTTGATGAAAGAAATGAATATAAGCATCCAAGATGCTCAACAAACTCCAGGTAAGATGGATTCATATTGAGACACATTATAATCAGACTTTAAAAAGTCAAGCAAAGAAAGAATCCTGAAAGCACATTTAATTTTCTAAGAAGATGCCAAACAATTTTCCAGAGTAGTCGTACAATTTTGTTCCCACCAGCAGTGTATGAATGGTCTAGTATTTCCACATTATTACCAGAATATTGTATTATCAGTATTTTTAAGTTTTAGTCGTTTTGATAATGCTGTAGTAAGAACTAATTGTGGTACTAATTTTCATTTCATGCTGGCTAATGACATTGAATAAACATGTTATTTGCCATCTGTATAATATCTTCCTTGAAATATGTATTTATATTTTTTGCCCATTTTATATTTTGATTATTTCTTTTTTGTAAAGTTGTGTTTCAAGAGTTTTTATATATTCTAGAGACTAGTCCTTTGTTGGATATATGGTTTTCATTTATTTTCTTTCATTTCTTAACTTGTATTTTCACCCTCTTAACTTGACAGGGTTCTTCACAGAGGACGGCTTATCAGTTTTTTAAAAAATAGATTGTGCTCGTGGTTTCACCTCTTAGAATTCTTTGCTTAGCTCTGAATATTGATGATTTTTTCCTTTTTTTAAAAAATAAAATTTACATTTCTACATTTTATACTTAAATATTAGTTTTATTAATATTTTATTTGTGTTGTCTTAATTTGATTTTGTTATCTGGGTAATACTATCTTCATAAAGTAAATTAGGAAGTATTCCTTTTATTTGCTTTCTGGAAGTTTTTGTGACAAATTCTTGTTAATTCTTTGTTAAATGTTTGGTAGAATTCTCTGGTGAAACCAACTGGGTCTGGAGATAATTTCATGAGAGATTTGATATTCCAAATTTAATTTACTTAGTAAATTATAGGACTATTTTGTTTGTTGCCTTCATCTTGGTTTAGTTTTTGTAGTTTGTCATCAGTCTTACCTGATGGTTTTTCAGGTATATTTATTTTTTTTTCAAGAACTAGCCTGTTGCTGCAGTTGATTTTCTCTTTTTTTTTTCCTGTTATTATTTCTTCCTTTCTCTGCTTTTAGTTTATTTTGCTCTTTTTTTCTAGTTTCTTGAAGTAGGAACTTAGATTATTGGTACTCTGATTTGGTGCTCTGTCTTTTGTAAGGTTTTACTAAGTGTTATTAATTATTCTCTCTGCACTGCTTTAGCTGTTTTAATACAGGTGTTTTTTTCATTTAGTTATATTTATTTTTCAAAATTTCCTTTCAGACTTCTTCTTTGAATCATGAGCTCCTTAGAAGTGTACTAATTAATTTGCAAGTGTTTGGAAACCTTCTTCTTGTTTTGTTATTGATTTCTAGTTTAATTCCATTGTGTTAAGAAAAAACACTCTGCTTCACCTCAATTGTTTTAAATTTTAAAGTTTTTGAGATTTGTTTTATTGCCTAGGGTATGGTTTGTCTTGGGAATACTCTGTGAACTCTGGAGAAACATGTATGTTGTTCTTTTGTTGGATGAAATATTCTATATTTGTCAAATAGATACTGTTGGTTGATTGTGTTGTTGAGTTCTATATCCTTGCTAATTTTCTTTAAAAAATTTTTTTAGAGATGAAAGGGGTACAAGTGCAGTTTTGTTACATGAGCATATTATGTAGTGGTTTGCCTAGGCTTTTAGTGTAGCCATCACAAATAGTGTCCATTGTACCCACAAGGTCATTTATCATCCCTCTCCCTGTTCCCACTCTTCCACTTTTCTGAGTCTTCACTGTGAATTATTTCACTCTCTATGTTTATGTGTACACATTATTTAATTCCTACTTACAAGTGAGAACATGTGATATTTGACTTTATTTCTGAGATATTTCACTTAAAATAATGGACTCCAGTTCCATCCTTGTTTTTGCAAAAGACATGATTTCATTCTTTTTTTAAGGCCGAATAATATTCCATGGAATATATATACACCACACTTTATTTCTCTTACTATCCATCGATAGACACTTAAGTTGATTCCATATCTCTGCTATTGTGACTTGTGCTGTGCTAAATGTATAAGTGCAGTTATCTTTTGATACAATGATTTCTCTTCCTTTCGGTAGGTACCCAGTAGTGGGATTGCTGAGTCAACTGTTTTATGTTTTCCATAGAAGTTGTGCAAATTTACATTCCAACAAGCAATGTATAATTGTTCCCTTTTCTGTGCATCCTCATCAATATCTGTTGTTGATTGACTTTTAAATAATAGCCATTCTGACTGGTGTAAGATGGTATCTCGCTGTGGTTTAATTTGTATTATTCTGATGATTTGTGATATTGAGTATCTTTTCATATGTTTATTCGCAATTTATATGTCTTCCTTTGCAAAATGTCTGTTCATGTAATTTGCCCACTCTTTAATGGGTTTGCTTTTTTTGCTGTTGTTGAGTTGTTTGAATTCCTTGTAGATTCTGCATGTGACTTAACCTGTCGGATGCATAGTTTGCAAATATTTGTCCCATTCTGTCTGGTAGTTCTATAATATGCTGAGAGTGGAGTAAATTGGGGACTATAACTCGAATTTTATGTTTCTGCATTTCTCTTTCCCGCTCTACTAGTTTTTGTTTTACGTATTACGTATTTTGAGGCTGTGTGGTTTGGTTTGCACTCATTTAGGATTGTTATGTCCCACTGGTGAATTGATCCTTTTATCATTACATAATGTTTTCATTTGTCACAAGTAATTTTTCTCTCTAAAATCTACTCTACCTAATATCCATATACCCACAGCCAATATCATACTGAATGGGCAAAAACTTGAAGCATTCTCTTTGAAAACTGGCACAAGACAGGGATGCCCTCTCTCACCACTTCTGCTCAACATAGTGTTGGAAGTTCTGGCCAGGACAATCAGGCAGGAGAAGGAAATAAAGGGTATTCAATTAGGAAACGAGGAAGTCAAATTGTCCCTGTTTGCAGACGACATGATTGTATATCCAGAAAACCCCATTGTCTCAGCCCAAAATCTCCTTAAGCTGATAGGCAACTTCAGCAAAGTCTCAGGATACAAAATCAATGGGCAAAAATCACAGGCATTCTTATACACCAATAACAGACAAACAGAGAGCCAAATCATGAGTGAACTCCCATTCACAATTGCTTCAAAGAGAATAAAATCCTAGGAATCCAACTTACAAGGGACGTGAAGGACCTCTTCAAGGAGAACTACAAACCACTGCTCGATGAAATAAAAGAGGGTACAAACAAATGGAAGAACATTCCTTGCTCATGGATAGGAAGAATCAATATCGTGAAAATGGCCATACTGCCCAAGGTAATTTATAGATTCAATGCCATCCCCATCAAGCTACCAATGACTTTCTTCACAGAATTGGAAAAAACTACTTCAAAGTTCATATGGAACCAAAAAAGAGCCCACATCGCCAAGTCAATCCTAAGCCAAAACAACAAAGCTGGAGGCATCACGCTACCTGACTTCAAACTATACTACAAGGCTACAGTAACCAAAACAGCATGGTACTGGTACCAAAACAGCATGGTACTGGTACCAAAACAGAGATATAGACCAATGGAACAGAACAGAGCCCTCAGAAATAATGCCGGATATTTACAACTATCTGATCTTTGACAAACGTGACAAAAACAAGAAATGGGGAAAAGATTCCTTATTTAATAGATGATGCTGGGAAAACTGGCTAGCCATATGTAGAAAGCTGAAACTGGATCCCTTCCTTACACGTTATACAAAAATTAATTCAAGATGGATTAAAGACTTAAATGTTAGACCTAAAACCATAAAAACCCTAGAAGAAAACCTAGGCAATACCATTCAGGTCATAGGCATGGGCAAGGACTTCATGACTAAAACACCAAAAGCAATGGCAACAAAAGCCAAAACTGACAAATGGGATCTAATTAAACTAAAGAGCTTCTGCACAGCAAAAGAAACTACCATCAGAGTGAACAGGCAACCTACAGAATGGGAGAAAATTTTTGCAATCTACTCATCTGACAAAGGGCTAATATCCAGAATCTACAATGAACTCAAACAAATTTACAAGAAACAAACAAACAACCCCATCAACAAGTGGGCAAAGGATATGAACAGACACTTCTCAAAAGAAGACATTTATGCAGCCAAAAGACACATGAAAAAATGCTCATCATCACTGGCCATCAGAGAAATGCAAATCAAAACCACAATGAGATACCATCTCACACCAGTTAGAATGGCGATCATTAAAAAGTCAGGAAACAACAGGTGCTGGAGAGGATGTGGAGAAATAGGAACACTTTTACAGTGGTGGTGGGACTGTAAACTAGTTCAACCATTGTGGAAGTCAGTGTGGCGATTCCTCAGGGATCTAGAACTAGAAATACCATTTGACCCAGCCATCCCATTACTGGGTATATACCCAAAGGATTATAAATCATGCTACTATAAAGACACATGCACATGTATGTTTATGGTGGCACTATTCACAATAGCAAAGACTTGGAACCAACCCAAATGTCCAACAATGATAGACTGGATTAAGAAAATGTGGCACATATACACCATGGAATACTGTGCAGCCATAAAAAATGATGAGTTCATGTCCTTTGTAGGGACGTGGTTGAAGCAAACTATCACAAGGACAAAAAACCAAACACCGCATGTTCTCACTCATAGGTGGGAATTGAACAATGAGAACACATGGACACAGGGTGGCAAACATCACACACCGGGGCCTGTTGTGGGGTGGGGGCAGGGGGGAGGGATAGCATTAGGAGATATATGTAATGTTAAATGACGAGTTAATGGGTGCAGCATACCAACATGGCACATGTATACATATGTAACTAACATGCACGTTGTGCAGATGTACCCTAAAACTTAAAGTATAATAAAAAAAATCCATATAGTGATTGCTGCTTTTTAAAAAAATTAATATTTATATGGTATATTTCTTTCCATGTTTTTGCTTTAAATTGACCTATGTCATTGTATTTGAAATGATTTATTGTAGAGAACATTTTTTTGGATCACTAAAGAAAATCTATGTCAATCTGCTTTTTTCTTTAAAAAAACTTATTTATTTATTTATTTTTAGATTGATTCTTAATATTTCTCTGTATTTATGGAGCATAGGCAATATTTCATTACATGAATACAATGTGTAGTGATCAACTCAGAATGTTTAGCATATCCATTACCTCAAGTGTTTATTATTTATATATGTTGGGAACATTTTAAGTCCTGTCTCCTAGCTATTTTGAAATATAAAACAACATTGTTTTTAATTATAATCACCCTACTCTGCTATTGAACATTAGACCTCATTCCTTCTATCTAGTTGTATATTTGTACCCATTAACTAACCTCTCTTGTCCTTCCCCCATGCAGCCTTCCTCACCTCTGTTAAACTACCATTCTACACTCTACCTTCATGAGATCAATTTTTTTTATCTACTACATATGAGTGAGAATATGTGATGTTTATATTTCTGTGACTGGCTGATTTTACTTAACATGATGGACGTGCAGTTCTATCCATGCTGCTGCAAATGACAGGATTTTATTCTTTTTTTAAATAACTGAATAGATTTCATTTTGTATATATACCACATTTTTCTTATTATTTATCCATTGATGGAAACTTAGCTTGATTCTATATCTTTGCATTTATGAATAGTGCTGTAATAAACATGGAACTGCAGATATTCCTTTGTTACACTAATTTCCTTTCCTTTGGATAAATACTCAGTAGTAGAATGCTGGATAATATGGTAGTTCTATTTTTAGCTTTTTGAGGAACCTTAATATTGTTTTCTGTAATGCCTATACTAATTTACACTGCCGCCACCCGTGTATAAGAGTTCCTTTTCTCCACATCCTTGCCAGTATCTGCTATTTTTGTCTTTTTGATAATAGACATTTTAACTGGAGTAAGATGATATCTCATTGTGGTTTTGATTTGCATGTATCTGATGTTTAGTGATGTTAAGCATTTTTCGTGTGCCTTTTGACCATTTGTATGTCTTCTTTTGAGAAATGTCTGCCCTGGTCTTTTGCCCAGTTTTTAATGGGATTATTTATTTGTTTGTTTGATTTTGCTGTTGAACTATTTGAGTTCCTTATATACTCTGGATATTAGTCCTTTGTTAGATGGATAGTTTGCAAATATGTTCTCTTATTGAACAGGTAGCCTCTTCACTCTGTTAATTGTTTTCTTGGCTCTGCAGTAGGTTTTCAATTTAATACCATCTTATTTGTCTATTTTTGTTTTTGTTGCGTATGCTTTTACAGTCTTTCTTAATAAATCATTTCTTATACCATGTACTGCAGTGTTTCCCCTATGTTTTCTTCTAGTATTTTCAGTTCCAGGTCTTATGTTTAAGGCTTTAAGCATTTGGAGTTGAGTTTTGCGTATTCTGAGATTTAGGGGTCTAGTTTCATTGTTCTACATAAGGATATGTCCAGTTTTCCCAACCCTGTTTATTGAGGAGACTGTCCTTTCCCCATTGTATGTTCTTTGCACCAAATGAGTTGGTTGTAAATATGTGGATTTATTTGTGAATTCTGTGTTCTGTTCCATTGGTCTACATGTCTGTTTTTATATCCATATCATGCTGTTTTGTCTATATTGCCTTGTAATATATTTTGACATCAGGTAGTGTGATGCTTCCAGCTTTGTTCTTTTTCTTTAGGATTGCTTTTGCTACTCAGGCTCTTTTTGGTTCCATATAAATTTTAGGATTTTTTTCTATTTTTGTGAGAATATCATTGATTTTTTTAATAGAGATTGCATTGAATGTACAGATGGCTTTGGGTAGTATGGTCATTTAGATAATAATAATTCTTCCAATTCATGAGCATGGGATATGTTTCCATCTGTTTGTGTCCTCTTAAATTTCTTTCATCAGTGTTTTGTAGTTTTCCTTGGAGAGGTCTTTCAACTCCTTTGTTAAATGTATTCCTTTTTATTTTTGTGACTGTTGTAAACGGGATTGCTGTCTCAATTTCTTTTTCAGCTTTTTCATAATTGATGTATAGAAATGCTACTGATTTTTGTGTGCCAATTTTTTTTTGTCCTGCAACTTTAATGAATTTGTTTATTAGTTCTAAGAATTTTTTGGTGCAGTCTTTAAGTTTTTCTGAATATAAGATTATTTCTGCAAAGGGACAGTTTGACTTCCTCTTTTCTAATTTGGATGCCTTTTATTTTTTTCTCCTGCCTAATTGCTCTGGCTAGAATTTTCAGTACTATGTTTTATGGATGTGGTGAAAATGGATATCCTTTTCTTTTTCTGTGTCTTAGAAAAAAGGCTGTCAGCATTTCCACATTCAGTATGATGTTAGCTGTGGGTTTATCATATATGACCTTTTTCATGTTAAGGTATGTTTCTTCAATGCCTAGTTTGTTGAGCATTTTTTATTTTGAGAGTTGAGATGTTGAATTTTATCTAGTCCTTTTCTCTGTTTAGATGATCATATGATTTGTGTCCTTATTTTGTTGATGTATTTCATTTACTGCTTTGCAAATGTTGAAGTACCCTTGCCTCTCTGAGATAAATCCTACTTGATCATGCTATATTATCTTTCTGATGTGCCGTTTAATTGGGTTTGCTAGTATTCTGTTGATTTTTGCATCTTTTTTCATCATGAGTAATGGTCTGTAGTTTTCTTTTTTGTTGCATGGTTTTCTGGTTTTTTTAATCAGGGTATTTCTGGCCTTATACATTGAATTAGGGGGAATTTACTCTTCAATTTTTTGGAATAGTTTGAGGACAATTGGTGTTAGTTCTTCATACATTTGGTAGAACTTGGCAGTGAAGCCATTGGGTCCTGGGCTTTTCTTTGTTGGAAGACTTTTTATTACTGATTCAATCTTGTTATCCATTATTGGCTGTCCAGGTTTTCTATTTTTTTTCCAGGTTCAATTTTGGGAGGTTTTATGTAACCAGGAGTTTATCCATTTCCTCAACCTACTTTTAAAAATTGATATATTAAGACATTTACCATTAAGGTAATTATATTTTAGGGATTAAGTCTGCAAATTAAAAAAGTGTTTTCTGCTTGTTTTCTCTTTTTGTTTTCTTTTCCTATTTTGAAACAGAATTTTTCTCTGTCATCCAGGCTGGAATGCAATGGCATGATCATGGCTCACAGCAACCTTGACCTTCTAGGCTCAAGCGATCCTTTCACTTCAGCCTCCCCAGTAGCTGGGATCGCAGGAGTGTTCCACCATGCCTGGCTAATTTTTTTATTTTTTGTAGATGTAGGGTTTCCCTATGTCAACCAGGCTGATCTTGAACTCCTGGGCTCAAGTGATCCTTCTGCCTTGGCCTCCCAAATATCTAGAATTACAGGCATAAGCCACCACACCTGGCTGTTTCCTGTTTTTCTTGTTCTTCTGTTTCTCTTTTCTTACCTTCTTGTGCATTAATTGAACATTTTTAATGATTTAATGTTGATTTATTTATGTTGTTTTGAGTATATTGCTTTGTAGAATTTTCTTAATGATTTCTCTCGGTAGTACAATAAACATGTAAATTATCACAGTCTACAGTTATCAACATTTTTTTTTACTCTTAGTGAGGCATGGAAACCTTACTTCCACTTAAGTCTCCTTACCCTAGAATAATATAATTTTCTTAAGTATTTTTTACATACATTGAGCGCCATATCAGATAATGTTATAACTGTGGATTCAACAATCAAATATGACTTACGAAACTAATAAGAATTAGAATAGTTTATTATATTGAACCACATTTTCCACCCGTTCTTATGTTACTATTTCCTCTCTGAAGTTTCAAGACTTCTTTTCTTATCATTTCCTTTCTGCTGGGGAAATTCCTTTAGCCATTTTCAAGGGTAGGTTTTACAGAATCAAATTATCTTAGTTTTTCTTCATCTGAGAATGTCTTTATTTCACTCTCATTCCTGAAGGATATTTTTTTCTGGGTGTAGAATACACAATTAGCAGTTTTCTTTCAGAACCTGAAAAATGTAACGTCTCCTTCTGGCCTCTATAGTTTCAGAAGAGAGACATGCTATCATTCAAATTCATTTTTATTTGTAATACAGTATTTTTTTCTGGCTGCTTTCCATATTTTTGTTTTGTTTTGTTTTAGTTTTTAAAGCTTAATTATGATGTGCCTTGGCATGCATATCTCTGGGTTTATCTTATTTGGTGTTTACGCAGATTTTTGAATCTATAAGTTTACATTTTCAATAAAATTGGGAAATTTTTAGTGATAGTTATTTTTAATTTAAAAATTTAAATTAATATAATGTATATTTAAGGTATACAATGTCATATATATTTTTTGAACTGATTACTATAGTCAAGTCAATTAACATATCTTTGTCTTCATATACTCACATAGTTACCATTTTGAGGAGTGTTGAGACTTAAGGTCTGTTCTTTTAGCAAACTTCAAGTATACAACACAGTATTAGTAGCTATAGTCATCATGCTCTAAATTAAACCTCTAAAACTCATTCATCCTGTATAACTGAAACTTTGTACACTTTAACTAATATCTCCCCATTTTCCCAGCCTCCTTGGCACTGGTAGCCACCATTTTACCCTGCTCCTATGAATTCAACTTTTTTAGATTTCACATATATGTGTAATCACACACTGTTTTTCTATCTGTGTCTGGAGTTTTTCACTTATCTTAATATCCTCCACATTCATCCATGTTGTTGCAAATGAGAGAAATTCCCACTTTTCTTGCTTTCCAACTTTTATTCTAGGTTCAGGGGGGTACATGTTCAGGTTTGTTACATGGGTAAATTGCATGTCATGGGGATTTGGTCTACAGATTATATCATCACTCAGGTAATGAGCATAGTAGTCAATAGTTTTTCAATCCTTATCCTCCTTTCACTGACCACCCTGAAGTAGGCACTGGTGTTTCATCATTTTTATCCATGTGTACTCAATGTTCAGCTCCCACTTATGTAAGTGAGAACATGCAGTATTGGTTTTCTGTTCCTGTGTTGACATGCTTAGTATAATGGCCTCTAGCTCCATCCATGTTACTGCAAAGGAAATGATTTTTTTTATGGCTGCATAATTTTCCATGGTGTATATGTATCACACTTCCTTTATCCCATTCACCACTGATAGACATTTAGGTTGATTCCATGTCTTTCCTATTGTGAATAGTGCTTCACTGAACATATGCATGCATGTGTCTTTATGGTAGAATGATTTATATTGTCTTGGGTATATACCCACTAGTGGGATTGTTTAGTTGAATGATAGTTCTGTTTTAAGTTCTTTGAGAATTCTCCAAACTGATTTCCACAGGAGTGGAACTAATTTACATTGCCATCAGCAGTGAATAAGCATTCCCTTTTCTCCATAACTGTGCCAATATCTGTTATTTTTTGACTTTTCAATAGCCATTCTGACTGGTATGATATATTTTATTGTGATTTTAATGTGCATTTCTCTAATGATTGAACATTTTTTCATACGCTTGTTGGCCATGTGTATGTCTTCTTTTGAGTAGCATCTGTTCATGTCCTTTGCCCAATTTTTAGTGGGGTTGTTTGTTTTTTGCTTTTTAATTTGTTTTTAAGCTTTTGTAGTCTGGATATTAGACCTTTGTCAGATGCATAGCTTGCAAATATTTTCTCTCATTCTGTAGATTGTCTGTTTACTCTGTTGATAGTTTCCTGTGCTGTGTAGAGAGGCAATGAAAAAAGAAAACTTCAGGTCAATATTGTCTTTGAATGTGGATGCAGAAATATAAGCAAATGAAATAGAAGCAAACTGAATTCAGCGGCACATCAAAAAGCTGATCCACTAAGATCAAATACACTTTATACCTAGAATGCAAGGTTTGTTCAACATATGCAAATCAATAATTTTGATTCATCACATAAACAGAGCTAAAGACAAAAACCACATGATCATCTCAATAGTTGCAGATAAAGCTTTCTATACAATTCAAGATCCCTTCATGTTAAAAACCCTCAACAAACAAAGCATTGAAGGAACATACTTCAAAATAATTAGTGCCGTCTATGAAAATCCCACAGCCAACATCATACTGAATGGGCAATAGCTGTAATTATTCCCCTTGAAAACCACAACAAGACAAATGTGCCCCCTTTTACCACTCCAATTCAACATAGTACTGGAAGTCCTAGCCAGAGCAATCAGGGAAGAGAAAGAAGTAAAGTCCTCCAAATAGGAAGAGAGGAAGTTAAATGATCCCTGTTTGCAGACAATATGATTTTATACCCAGGAAACCCTGTAATCTGTGCCCCAAAGGTCCTTGATCTGATAAACATCTTTGGCAAAGTTTTTTTTTAATATTATACTTTAAATTTTGGGGTACATGTGCAGAACGTGCAGGTTTGTTACATAGGTATACACGTGCCATGGTGGTTTGCTGCACCCATCAACCCATCATCTACATTAGGTATTTCTCCTAATGCTATCCCTCCCCTAGCTGACCATTCCCCAACAGGCCCCAGTGTGTGATATTCCCCTGCCTGTGTCCATGTGTTCTTATTGTTCAACTCCTAATTAGGAGTGAGAACACGTGGTGTTTGGTTTTCTGTTTTTCTGTTAGTTTGCTGCAAAGTTTTAAGATACAAAAATTGATGTTCAAAAATCAATAGCATTCCTATACACCAAAAACATCCAAGCTGAGAGTTAAATCAAGAATGCATTCCTCTTCACAATAGCCACAAAATGAACAAAAATCTAGGAATGCAGCTAACCTGGGCAGTGGAAGATCTGTACAATCAGAATTACAAAATATTGCTGAATGAAGTGAGAGCTGACAGAAATGAATGGAAAAACACTCCAATCTCATGGATAGGAAGAATCAATATTGTTAAGATGGTCAATGAATTTCTTGATTTCTGCTTAATTTCATTGTTTACTCAAAAATCATTGAGGAGTAGATTGTTTAATTTTCATATAATTGTATGTTTTGTGAGATCTTCATATTGATTTCTGTTTTTGTTGTCCTATGGTCTGAGTGATGGAGTCTCATTCTCTCACCCAGGCTGGAGTGCAGTGGCATGATTTTGGCTCACTGCAACCTCTTCCTCCCGGGTTCAAGTGATTCTTGTGGCTCAGCCTCCCGAGTAGCTGGGACTACAGGCATATGCTACCACGTTCAGCTAATTTTTGTATTTTTAGTAGAGATGTGGTTTCACCGTGTTGGCCAGGCTTGTCTTGAACTCCTGATCTGAAGTGATCTGCCTACCTTGGCCTTCCAAAGTGCTGAGATTACACCTTCCTTGTTACTTTTGATGTTGTGGTTTAAAGTTTGTTTTATCTGAAATAAGAATAGCAACCCCAATTCTTTTTTCTTTTCCATTTGCATGATAGATCTTTCTCCATCCCTTTAATTTGATCCTATGTGTGTCATTACACGTGACATTGGTCTCTCGAAGACAGCGTACAGTTGGGTGTTGCTTCTTTATCTAATTGACTATGCTGTGCCTTTAAAATGAGTCATTTAGCCCATTTATGTTCAAGATTAATATTGACATGTGCCAATTTGATCCTGTCATTGTGTTGTTAGCTGGGGTTTTTTTTTGTGGACTTTATTGTGTAGTTGCTTTATAGCGTCAATGGTCTGTGTACTTACATATGTTTTTGTGATGGGTGGTAAGTCTTTCATTTTCAGGATTAGCACTTCCTTAAAGAGCTCTTGTAAGGCAGGTCTTGATGGTAACAAATTTTCTTAGCATTTGCTTGTCTGAAAAATATTGCATTTCTCCTTTATTTGTCTCCTTTATTTGCTTGTCTGAAAAATATTTCATTTCTCCTTTAGTTTGGTGGGATATGAAATTTGTGATTGACATTTCTTTTCTTTAATGATGTTGAATATAGGCCCCCAGTCTTTTCTAGCTTACAGGGTTTCTGCTGAAAGTTCTGCTGTTAGCCTGATGGGGCTCCCTTTTTAGGTGACCTCCCCTTCTCTCTAGCTGTCTTTAATATTTTGTCCTTCACATTGAGCTTGGGGAATCTGATGACTGTGTGTTTTGGGGGTGGTCATCTTGCATAGTATCTTCCAGGGGTTCTCTGAATTTCCTGAATTTGAATGTGAACCTCTCTAGTGAGGTTGGGGAAATTTTCATGAAGAAAATCCTCAAATATGTATTACAAGTTGCTTGCTCTCTCCCCCTCTCTTTCAGTGACACTAAGGAGTCATAGATTTGGTCTATAAAAATTCCATATATCTTATATATTATGTTCATTCTTTTACATTCTTTTTTCCTTATTTTTTTCTTGACTGAATAGATTTGAAGAGCCAGTCTTTGAGTTCTGAGGCTCTTTCCTGAACTTAGTATATTCTGCTGTTAGTATTTCCAATTGAATTATGAAATTCTTGTGGTGAGTTTTTCATGTCTATCAGATCAGTTAGGTTCTTTCTTAAATGGCTATTTCATCTTTCTGCTCTTGAATTGTTTTACTGGATTTCTTAGATTTCTTTTGTATTGAATTTCAACTTCCTCCTGAATCTTGATGATCATTGCCATTGCCATCCAGATCCTGAATTCTATGTCTGTCATTTCAGCCATTTCAGTTTGGTTAAGAACTATTGCTGGGAAGCTAATATGGTCATTTGGAGGTAAGAAGGCACTCCGGATTTTACAGTTGCCAGAGGTCTTGCACTGATTCTCATCTGTGTGGGCTGATGTTCCTTTAATCTTTGAAGTTGCTGTCCTTTGGATGGGGCTTTTTCTTTTTATATTCTTTGCTACCTTTGAATGTTCGACTGTGGTATAAGTTGGGTTTAGTTGACTGGCTTCATTTCTGGATGATTTCAGGAGGCCATGGCTCAACTCAGCACTCTTGGGCTGTGCACTTTAATCCTGGGGTTGCTGGGATCAAGCCTATGGCTTTGTTCTCTGGCTTCTCAAAGTTAACCATTTGATGTACTCAGCCGGGGTGGCGGGGGGAAGGGGGTAAGTGTTTCTGGTCCTCTGGCAATGATACTGCATTGGTGGATGCTGGCAAAAGCCCTTTGTCAAGGTGATGGCAACATGATCCATGCCCACATGCATGTGCTGGGAGTGGCAGGTGGCAGCAGCATGGCAGGGTCTGTGCATAGGCATGTGTACTGGCATAGCCATTGGGGAGGCTGCAGGTGGATGCATGCTGGCAAGGCCCATGTGAAAAAACTCTCTTACAGTTAGGCTGGGTCTTCCAGTAAAAGAGCTATAGCAGTAGCTACTTGGAAGTGCCCTGGTTGAGCATCTGAGGCTACACTGCAAGTGGATGTGGCCAGGCAGAGATCCTCGGGAATTCTTGCAGAAAGGGGATACTCAGATCAGACTGGTCACATCCCACAGGCACGATAGCTCTGTTCTGTGCAAGTTTGACAGTCAAAAAATACCTAAGCCACCTGGAACAGTGTGGTGAGCCTTGGAGGATGGGTATCCCTGGCTGTGCTCCACTGCAGCCATTCCCACGTCAAACCCTCTGGGCTTTGCAGGATGGAGTCCTGTCTCTGCTAACTCCCAAGCAGCTCCCACTTGGAGCTCATGGAGTCTCCTGCATCTAGGTGTCCTTGGTTACATGGCAAGAGTGGGCCACTCCATGCCTATTTAACTCATTCTTTCTCCAGGAGCTTCGTGGGGCCAGGAATGAGTCCTAGTGCTCTGCAACCCTGTATAGGGTTCCCAGCTTCCTCTCCCTTCAGCGCAGATTCTGCATTCTCTGTCCATTCACTCTCAAAGCCTTCCTTCTGAAGATTTCATTGGGGTGTGCTGATCTTCATGGTCTGGCCACTCAGTGAGAGAAGCTCTTCCTAGCTGTGTCTAGTCAGCCATCTTGGCTCTTTCCTCTTTTTCAAGGCCGAATAATATTCTATTGTATGCATTCACCACATTTTTTTATCCATTCATCCATTGACAGACACTTAGGTTGTTCTCATATTATGGCTATAATGAATAATGCTTTAATGAACCTTCAAGTGCAGATATATCTATGACATACTGATTTTATTTCCTTTTTCATATATACCCAGAAGAGAGATTACTGGATCATATAGTATTTTTAATTATTTGAGGATCCTTTTTACTGTTTTCCAAAATGGCTGTACCAATTTATGTTTTTCACTAATAGTGTACAGTTGTTTCTTTTTCTTCACATTCTCATCAACACTTATCTTTCTTCTCTTTGATAATAGGCATTCTAATCGATGTGAGATAATATCTCATTGTTGTTTTCATTAGTGCTTCCCTGATGATTAGTAATGTTGAGCGCATTTTCATATATCTATTGTCCATCTGTTGTGTGTCTTCTTTGGAAAATATCTATTCAGGTCATTTGCCCATTTTAAAATTTGAGGGTTTTTTTTGTTATTGAGTTATATGAGTTTCTTTTATATATGCATATCAGATATATGGTTTGCAAATAAATATGATCTGCTAATCTTCAGTGGCCTTTAATTTTGTTGATGATTTTATTTGCAGAAACTCAGTTTGATATAGTCCCATTTGTTTATTTTGTTGTTGTTTTTGCCTTTGCTTTTGGTATCATATTCAAAACAATCATTACCAAGATCAGTATCAAAGTATTTTTACTATATTTTCTTTTAAGAGATTAACTTGTCATTTTACATTAGGTATACCTCCTAATGCAATCCCTCCCCCAGCCCCCCACCCCACAACAGGCCCCAGTGTGTGATGTTCCCCTTCCTGTGTCCATGTGTTCTCATTGTTCAATTCCCAGCTATGAGTGAGAACATGCGGTGTTTGGTTTTTTGTCCTTGCGATAGTTTGCTGAGAATGATGGTTTCCAGCTTCATCCATGTCCCTACAAAGAACATGAACTCATCATTTTTTATGGCTGCATAGTATTCCATGGTGTATATGTGCAACATTTTCTTGATCCAGTCTATTATTGTTGGACATTTGGCTTGGTTCCAAGTCCTTGCTATTGTGAATAGTGCCTCAATAAACATACGTGTGCATGTGTCTTTATAGCAGCATGTTTTATAATCCTTTGGGTATATACCCAGTAATGGGATGGCTGGGTCAAATGGTATTTCTAGTTCTAGATCCCCGAGGAATTGCCACACTGACTTCCACAATGGTTGAACTAGTTTACAGTCCCACCAACAGTGTAAAAGTGTTCCTATTTCTCCACATCCTCTCCAGCACCTGTTGTTTCCTGACTTTTTAATGATTGCCATTCTAACTGGTGTGAGACGGTATCTCATTGTGGTTTTGATTTACATTTCTCTGATGGCCAGTGATGATGAGCATTTTTTCATGTGTCTTTTGGCTGCATAAATGTCTTCTTTTGAGAAGTGTCTGTTCATATGCTTTGCTCACTTTTTAATGGGGTTGTTTCTTTCTTGTAATTTTGTTTGAGTTCATTGTAGATTCTGGATATTAGCCCTTTGTCAGATGAGTAGATTGCAAAAATTTTCTCCCATGCTCTAGGTTGCCTGTTCACTCTGATGGTAGTTTCTTTTGCTGTGCAGAAGCTCTTTAGTTTAATTAGATCCCATTTGTCAATTTTGGCTTTTGTTGCCATTGCTTTTGGTGTTTTAGACATGAAGTCCTTGCCCATGCCTATGAACTGAATGGTATTGCCTAGGTTTTCTTCTAGGGTTTTTATGGTTTCAGGTCTAACATGTGAGTCTTTAATCCATCTTGAATTAATTTTTGTATAAGGTGTAAGGAAGGGATCCAGTTTCAGCTTTCTACATATGGCTAGGCAGTTTTCCCAGCACCATTTATTAAATAGGGAATCCTTTCCCCATTTCTTGTTTTTGTCAGGTTTGTCAAAGATCAGATGGTTGAAGATATATGGCATTATTTCTGAGGGCTCTGTTCTGTTCCATTGGTCTACTCTGTTTTGGTACCAGTACCACGCTGTTTTGGTTACTGTAGCCTTGCAGTATAGTTTGAAGTCAGGTAGCGTGATGCCTCCAGCTTTGTTCTTTTGGCTTAGGATTGACTTGGCAATGCAGGCTCTTTTTTGGTTCCATATGAACTTTAAAGTAGTTTTTTCCAATTCTGTGAAGAAAGTCATTGGTAGCTTGATGGGGATGGCACTGAATCTATAAATTACCTTGGGCAGTATGGCCATTTTCATGATATTGATTCTTCCTACCCATGATCATGGAATGTTCTTCCATTTGTTTGTATCCTCTTTTATTTCATCGAGCAGTGGTTTGTAGCTCTCCTTGAAGAGGTCCTTCACATCCCTTGTAAGTTGGATTCCTAGGTATTTTATTCTCTTTGAAGCAATTGTGAATGGGAGTTCACTCATGATTTGGCTCTCTGTTTGTCTGTTATTGGTGTATAAGAATGCCTGTGATTTTTGCCCATTGATTTTGTATCCTGAGACTTTGCTGAAGTTGCCTATCAGCTTAAGGAGATTTGGGGCTGAGACAATGGGGTTTTCTAGATATACAATCATGTCGTCTGCAAACAGGGACAATTTGACTTCCTCTTTTCCTAATTGAATACCCTTTATTTCCTTCTCCTGCCTGATTGCCCTGGCCAGAACTTCCAACACTATGTTGAATAGGAGTGGTGAGAGAGGGCATCCCTGTCTTGTGCCAGTTTTCAAAGGGAATGCTTCCAGTTTTTGCCCATTTGGTATGATATTGGCTGTGGGTTTGTCATAGATAGCTCTTCT
The DNA here is from genome assembly GCF_000001405.40 of Homo sapiens. Classification (NCBI taxonomy): domain Eukaryota; kingdom Metazoa; phylum Chordata; class Mammalia; order Primates; family Hominidae; genus Homo; species Homo sapiens. Next base: position 121,004,707 of record NC_000003.12, read on the forward strand.
TATTTTGAGATACGTCCCATGAATACCTAATTTTTTGAGAGTTTTTAGCATGAAGCGTTGTTGAATTTTGTCAAAGGCCTTTTATGCATCTATTGAGATAATCATGTGGGTTTTGTCATTGGTTTTATTTATATGCTGGATTACGTTTATTGATTTGCATATGTTGAACCAGCCTTGCATCCCAGGGATGAAGCCCACTTGATCATGGTGGATAAGCTTTTTGATGTGCTCCTGTATTCGGTTTGCCAGTATTTTGTTGAGGATTTTTGCATCGATGTTCATCAGGGATGTTGGTCTAAAATTCTCTTTTTTGGTTGTGTCTCTGCCAGGCTTTGGTATCAGGATAATGCTGGCTTCATAAAATGAGTTAGGGAGGATTCCCTCTATTTCTATTGATTGGAATAGTTTCAGAAGGAATGTTACCAGCTCCTCCTTGTAACTCTGGTAGAATTTGGCTGTGAATCCATCTGGTCCTGGACTTTTTTTGGTTGGTAGGCTATTAATTATTGCCTCAATTTCAGAGCCTGTTTTTGGTCTATTCAGATATTCAACTTCTTCCTTATTTAGTCTTGAGAGGGTGTATGTGTCCAGGAATTTATCCATTTCTTCTAGATTTTCTAGTTTATTTGCATAGTGGTGTTTATAGTATTCTCTGATGGTAGTTTGTATTTCTGTGTGAACGGTGGTGATATCCCCTTTATCATGTTTTATTGCGTCTATTTGATTCTTCTCTCTTTTCTTCTTTATTAGTCATGCTAGCGGTCTATCAATTTTGTTGATCTTTTCACAAAACCAGCTCCTGGATTCATTGATGTTTTGAAGGGTTTTTTGTGTCTCTATTTCCTTCAGTTCTGCTCTGATCTTAGTTATTTCTTGCCTTCTGCTAGCTTTTGAATGTGTTTGCTCTTGCTTTTCTAGTTCTTTTAATTGTGATGTTAGGGTGTCAATTTTGGATCTTTCCTGCTTTCTCTTGTGGGCGTTTAGTGCTATAAATTTCCCTCTACACACTGCTTTAAATGTGTCCCAGAGATTCTGGTATGTTGTATCTTTGTTCTCATTGGTTTCAAAGAACATCTTTATTTCTGCCTTCTTTTCGTCATGTACCCAGTAGTCATTCAGGAGCAGGTTGTTCAGTTTCCATGTAGTTGAGTGGTTTTGAGTGAGTTTCTTAATCCTGACTTCTAGTTTGATTGCACTGTGGTCTGAGAGACAGTTTGTTATGATTTCTGTTCTTTTACATTTGCTGAGGAGTGCTTTACTTCCAACTATGTGGTCACTTTTGGAATAGGTATGGTGTGGTGCTGAAAAGAATGTGTATTCTGATGATTTGGGGTGGAGAGTTCTGTTGATGTCTGTTAGGTCTGCTTGGTGCAGAGCTGAGTTCAATTCCTGGGTATCCTTGTTAACTTTCTGTCTCGTTGTTCTGTCTAATGTTGACAGTGGGGTGTTAAAGTCTCCCATTATTTTTGTGTGGGAGTCTAAGTCTCTTTGTGGGTCTCTAAGGACTTGCTTTGTGAATCTGGGTGCCCCTGTATTGGGTGCATATATATTTAGGATAGTTAGCTCTTCTTGTTGAATTGATCCCTTTACCATTATGTAATGGCCTTCTTTGTCTCTTTTGATCTTTGTTGGTTTAAAGTCTGTTTTATCAGAGACTAGGATTGCAATCCCTGCCTTTTTTTGTTTTCCATTTGCTTGGTAGATCTTCCTCCATCCCTTTATTTTGAGCCTATGTGTGTCCCTGCACGTGAGATGGGTTTCCTCAATACAGCACACTGATGGATCTTGACTCTATCCACTTTGCCAGTCCGTGTCTTTTAATTGGGGCATTTAGCCCATTTACATTTAAGGTTGATATTGTTATGTATGAATTTGATCCTGTCATTATGATGTTAGCTGGTTATTTTGCTTGTTAGTTGATACAGTTTCTTCCTAGTATCAATGGTCTTTACAATTTGGCATGTTTTTGCAGTGGCTGGTGCCAGTTTTTCCTTTCTATGTTTAGTGCCTCCTTCAGGAGCTCTTTTAGGGCAGGCCTGGTGGTGACAAAATCTCTCAGCATTTGCTTGTCTGTGAAGGATTTTATTTCACCTTCACTTATAGGCTTAGTTTGGCTGTATATGAAATTCTGGGTTGAAAATTATTTTCTTTAAGAATGTTGAATATTGGCCCCCACTCTCTTCTGGCTTGTAGAGTTTCTGCTGAGAGATCACCTGTTAGTCTGATGGGCTTCCCTTTGTGGGTAACCCGACCTTTGTCTCTGGCTACCCTTAACATTTTTTCCTTCATTTCAACTTTGGTGAATCTGACAATTATGTGTCTTGGAGTTGCTCTTCTTGAGGAGTATCTTTGTGGCGTTCTCTGTATTTCCTGAATTTGAATATTGGCCTGTCTTGCTAGATTGGGGAAGTTCTCCAGCTTTTTAAAAGTTATTGAAATTATACTTTTACATTTTTAAATTCTACTTGTATGTTAAACTACATTAATTTTGAATAGATATTGAAGTTACTTTACATTTCTGTGATAAGCCCCCTTGATTATGATACATTATCTATCTTATATATTGTTCTTTTTGATCACTGAGGATTTTGTTGACTGTTTTTCTTGTTTCTAAAGAATATTTGTCTGTAGCTTTCTTTTATGATAATAGTTTTGGCTGGTGTAGTTATTAATAAAATTCTGGCCTCAAATTTAATTGAGAATTATTTGCATCTATTCTATATTTGGGAAGAGTTTGTGTGAAATTAGTGTTTTTTTAATTCCTTAAATGTTTGCTGGAATTCAACAGTGAAACCATTTGGGTATGAATTTTTTTCTTGGAAAGTTTTAAACTAGAAATTAAAATTCTTTAATAGATATAGCAGCATTATTCTCCTCAGGAATGAGATATTCAACTCTGTTAAATCATTACTTGACGCAGCAGGAGATAACAGGATGAGGGTGGGATATTATTCACTAGTACTTCTGATCTGTTGTTTACATAGGCAGAATGAGCATCAGTGGTTAGAGAAAGCCTTTAACTGCTTGTAGTTGAAGCTTGCACTGCTTGTAGTTGAAGGTTACCCTGCCTGCATAGAAATTGTAATGGTCAAAAGAATGTGGTCAGGATACTGACAGCATCTTCTACAGATACACATCTTTTACTACACAGTTACTCTTATGCTCCATGTTAAGTTTACTATGTAAACTAATACTTACAGGTGTTATTCATTTATGACATTAAAAAAAATTTATAATGGGAGAGTTAGTGGAAAAAACTATACTTTCCTGCTGCTATGGTTAATTCTAAGGTTGTAATAGATATTTATCATTTTTTCTTTTACCGTTTTTTATAGATTTTCCTTACTCTCATCCAGCACTTCTGCTATTTTAGGTTTCTTTCCTACTGGGTTTATGTAGGCCTTTTCTGGGTGTCAGAGTACTTGTTAAGCTGTGCTTTCTCCATTTGCTTATAAGTGATTAGTACTGGGCATCGACGCCTCAATAATAAGCTTCTCCTGGACCACTTTTAGTAGCAACAACTCTAGCCCCTCATAATAATCAGGGTCAGTTCCCAGTATAATAACTCATTCCTTTGCCAGCTGGTCTAGTGTCATGAGAGGTTCTAAAGTATCCAAGTGGTAGCCTTAGGTTTACTGTAATTCTTATATCCCCTTGTAGAAGCATTCCCTCCCCTGGAACTAATGTCTCTAGTGCAACAGTGACTAAATTTATATAGACAGGAAGTGCACATTTCCAAAATAGACATTGAGAATGATGGTATGAGGAAACCATTTCTACTTCTACTTTTTGGTTCTCAAACCTATATATTACAACTAATGGGGATACAACACCAAATAATGGACATTGACTGGAAGTATTAATCCTCATCTTGAATAATAACACACTTAAAACTATATAGTATCATGTTTAAGCTGGTTCCTTACAATGGTTTAAGAGGCTATTCCAGCACACTCTTAGGCTGCTAGCTTTTAGCTTATGTGATAATAGTACTACTAGTATATTCAATGGTAATGTGTCCTTTATTTCATCTCCTTCATTGTCAACTGGGTCCTTTGGTTTGAGGCAATTTTATATGGAATTTGTTGAGGCTAAATCACTTTATGTTTCTGAGATAGTGGTCCAGCACAAGGAAAATCCATATTTAGAATATGTAGCAATTGTAATAAATAAAATATCTATCTTTTCCAGGATGGAATAGTTTCTTACGGTTTAATATAATCAATTTTTTTTTTTTACCAAGTGGGTGGTTGATCTTTTGAGGAATGATATCATATTGATGGTTTAGCTTGGATTCTTCTGACTGGTTGGATATGCAGTAGAGACAGTGAGTAGATGAACTTTAAAGAGAAGGATTTCATAACATTGGTTCCATGCGTAGCCTCCATTCCTGCCACCTGGTCACTCTGTTCCTCATTATGAAGGCAGTGGGGTGGCTGAGGACAGACAATGGCTGACTTATCTTCACCAATTGGTCATCCTACTTAACTGGGTTTTTAGTGTCTCTTCAGTGGTAGATGTACTATGTTAGGCATTGACATAAGAAATAAGAATCCACATACCTTGCATGCACTCCCCTAGATTCATTCACATGCTTCTTCCCCCTCTTGGTCTCTAATCTTCCAATTTATTTTCTAGACTCCTGACCAACCAATCATGCCATTTGCAACTGCCCAACAGTCTGCATTTATCCTTCCTCACATTACTTCTCTGTCCATACCAAGTTTATGACTAAGTGTACTGCTTGGATCCTTGCTCAGTGGGAGGAATTCCCTTCACCACTGTTTTAACACAACCACATCTGAATGTGGTAGCAGTTCATTTATTACTGTACCACCTTATGGAGAGGACCCATTTATTTAAAAAGCGCATTCTTATTTCTCCTCTTTGTGGTAGTTATAAGGAAACACCTACATGTTCATAGCTATGAGCAGAGGAAGCAATAATGGTGCAATTAGAGAAAGGTGAAATGGGGATCTGAGTCACTTATATATGAACTTAGTTGGGCCTAATTCTGAATGTACCACTTCTATCATGTTTTTGCTATTGTGCCAACTCTTCTTATTTGGTGGATCGTAATGTTTTTTTCTAGATCATCTATTTAGTGTCTACAAGGGCCTAGTAGCATGTCAGGAATTTCTTTTTGAATGATGAATGTTCCCTATGCAGACATCATGGCCTTGCTCAAGAACTCGAAAGGCATCTGCTTGGACTCCTACTGAGTTTTAAAAATGGGGATATTTTCAACACATCAACAGTTGCACACCACATGCTAGAGGCTATGTTGACATGTTCTAGTAAAGATACTTCATCTGATATTACAAGTGTGATTGAAATACCACTTGGTTAAATTTGTAGGAATTTACAGTTGTCTGCTATGATTCATATCATTTTTGGAGAACTCAGACCTATTAATTAATTGGGCATATGGGGGGCCATGATAGTGTTTTAAGTCTCCAAGTTCAACAGTCCTTAAGAGATTCGAGTCTTCCCCTTTCAGCAGTACATAATTATTTAGGTAAATGACTATATATATCTTTGGGGAAGGAGTGAGGGAATCACTACTACACATAGTTGTTGTGGCACTGCAGCATCTTCTTCAAGAGGAATTGGTCTCCCCTTCAATTGATAGGCTCTGGATCTGAGAACTGGCTCATTTATGGAAACTGGGCAAGGTATTTTAATTTTCCCTTTGGTGTCTAATATTAGTCTTCTGCTATTCCAGAATTCTGTTTTTTTTCTCACTGATACTAGAGAACCTAGTGTTACAGCATTATTCCCTACCATCAATCCTGGCAAGCAGAAGAAACTATCACTGAGCTTCTCACTAGCAGATAATAGTTGACCCTTGAACAACACGGGGGTTAGGGGAACTGATCTGCCACACCGTCAAAAGCCTGTGTACAACTTTTGACTCTACAAAAACTTTACTAATAGCCTACTGTTGACTGCAAGCCATACTAATAACATAAACAGTCAATTAATACCTATCTCATACATTAAATGTGTTGTATACTGTATTCGTATAATAACGGAAGCTAGAGAAAGGAAAATATTAAGAAAATCATAAGAAAGAGAAAATATATTTATTCATTTAGTGGAAGTAGATTGTCATAAGGGTCTTCATCCTTGTTATCTTTACTTTGAGTAGGTTGAGAAGGAGATGGAAGAGAAGGGGTTTGTCTTGCTGTCTGGGGTGGCAGAGGCAAATAAAAAATTCATGTTTAAGTGGACTAACATAGTTTGAACTTGTGTTGTTCAAGGGCCGATTGTACTTATTGCTTTGGTGAAAGAAATATTATTTGGGTTCAGTAGGGGAATATAATCATTTGGTTGTCTTTCTTGTATTATGTTTTAAATCTAGTATGTCTACCTCTTGGAGTTTCAGGACTGCTTTCTTTGTACTTCGCCGAGGTAGTTACAGCATCTCAACCTCATTATCATAGTCATTTTTAAGCCTTGAAACTATCCCGGTAACATTTAGGCTTGGCTGCAGGTGTACTTCCTACCATGTTAAATCCTCAGTTCTAGAAAAGTGTCTCTGAATCAGTAAAATCCCCGTCCCCTTATTCGTTCTTATATGCTATACTCTCCCCAGTTCAGTGCTTCTAACATCCATTTCTCAGTATGGTCTCCTGGTTGTTGCCAGTACCTATTAGATGAGTCCTGCAACCCTTTATTTTTATAGCAAGGACAATATTTTCCCAATTTGAGCATTCTGAGATTTTCAGATAATTGGGAGTTAGCCTAGTGGACACTCAAATGGTATAAGGACAAGTGATACTAGTGCGCCACTATCAGTTCTTGGTACCCTCTATTCCTCTCAAGCTTCATCCTCATTTACCTGCTTACCATTATAGCTAAATATACTTAGAAAATACTTAGAATGCTGTAACAAAGTCTAAGAAATCTGCCATCCAAAATGAACAGATGTTACTCCTGGTAATATTCACTTTTAAAAAAAAAAAGTTATTACAGATACAATTAAGATCCCAAATCCTCTTTTTCAGCCCCTTTCCCATCCAAAGCTGGACACTTATAATGAATTTGTTATATCTTTTTTTTTGTTTTGTTGTTAAACTTTTTAAGCTGCTTTATTGACACATAACTTGGCTACCACATAATTTAATCATTTAAAGTAAACAATTCAGTGATTTTGGTATGTTCACGGGGTTGTGCAATAATTACTACAGTGAATTTTAGAACATTTCCATCACTCCAGAAAGAAACTCTGTACCTATTAGACAGTCACTTTCTATTTTCTATTTCCCCCAAATCCTCCTAATCCTAGCTACTATGGATCTATTTTCTGTCTATATAGATTTCCTTATTGTGGAAATTTTATATAAATGAAATCATGCCATATGTAGTCTTTTGTGACTGACTTATTTCATTTAATATAATGTTTGCAAAGTTTATGCATGTATCAATACTTGATTTTTTTATTGGCAAATAAAATTCTATTTTATGGATATACCACATTTTATTATATATTCATTACAGTAGTTGATGGATACTTGGATTGCCTTTCTACTTCTTGGTTATTATAAATCATGCTTCTATGAACATTTGTGCACAGGCTTTTGTGTGCATATGTTTTCATTTGTCTTGGGCATGTATTCAGGAAGGGAATTGCTGCATCATGTGGTAACTCTATGTTTTACATTATGAGGAGCTGCTATTATTGAATTCCAAAAAGGTTGCATGGTTTCACATTCCCACCAGCAATGTGTTAGATCTTAAATTTCTTTATATCTTCCATATGGATATCTTTACCAACACTTGCTATTGTTTATTTTTTTGAATATAGCCATCTTAGTGGCTGTAGAGTGGTATTTCATGGTGGTTTTGATAGGCATGTCCCTGGACTAATGATGTTGACCTTCTTTTCATGCATTTATTGTCAGTTTGTATATTTCCTTTAGAGAAATGTCGATTTAAATATTTTGCTCAGTTTTATTTGGGTAATTATTATTGTTATTATTATTCTTAGATTTAGGGGATACATGTGCATGTGCAGGTTTGTTACATTGGTATGTTGTTTGATACTGAGGTTTGGGCTTCTAATGATCCCATCACCCAAGTAGGAAACAAAGTACCTGATAGGTAGTTTTTCAACCCTTATCCACCTTCCATCTTCCCTCCACCCTTTTGATATCTCCAGTATTTATGGTTCCTATCTTTGTGTCCATTTATACTCAGTGTTTAGTTCCTACTTACAAGTGAGAAGATGCAGTATTTGATTTTCTGTTTCTTTATTAATTTGCTTATGATAATGGCCTCCAGCTGCATCCATGTTGCTGCAATGGACACGATTTTATTCTTTTTTTTTATGGCTTCATAGTATTGCATGGTGTATATGTACCACATTTTCTTTATCCAATCTATCATTGATGGGCACCTGGGTTGATTCCATGTTCTTGCTATTATGAATAGTGCTGTAATAAACATATGAGGCCAAATGACTTTTTGGTGGAATGATTTATTTTCCTTTGGATATATACCCATTAATGGGATTGCTAGGTTAAATGGTAATTCTGTTTTTACTTTGAGAAATCTCCAAACTACTTTCCACAGAGGCTGAACTAATTTGCATTCTCACCAATGGTATATAAGTGTTCCCTTTTCTTGGCAACCTTGCCAACATCTGTTATTTTCCGACTTTTTAATAATAGTCATTCTGACTGGTGTGAGATGGTATCATATTGTGGTTTTAATTTGCATCTTTCTGATGATTAGTGATGTTGAGCATTTTTTATATGTTTGTTGGGTGCTTGTATGTCTTCTTTGGATAAGTGTCTGTTCATGATCTTTGCCCACTTTCAACGGAGTTATTTGTTTCTTATAGGTTTTGGGTATTAGTCCTTTGTTGGATGCCTGGTTTGCAAATATTTTCTCCCATTCTGTAGGTCATTTGTTTACTCTGTTGATAGTTTCTTTTGCTGTATGGAAGGTTTTAGTTCAATTAGGTCCCAACTGTCAATTTTTGGTTTTGTTGCATTTGCCTTTGAGGTTAATATCTAGAAGGGTATTTCCTAGATTTTCTTCTAAGATTGTGTAGTTTGAGATGTTACATTTAAGTCTTTAATCCATTTTAAGTTAACCTTTTTTATGGTGAGAAGTAGGGGATTAGTTTCATTCTACATATGGTTAGTCAGTTTTCCCAGCATCATTTATTGAATTAGGATATCCTTTCCCTGTTGTTTATTTTTGTCAACTTTGTCAAAGATCAGATGGTTGTAGGTATACAGCATTATTTCTGGGCTCTCTCTTCTGTTCCATTGGTCTGTATGTCTGTTTTTGTACCAGTACCATGCTGTTTTGATTACTGTAGCCTTGCCATATAGTTTGAAGTCAGGTAATATGATGCCTCCAGCTTTGTTCTTTTTGCTTAGAATTATATTGGCTATTCAGGCTCTTTTGGTTCCATGTGAATTTTAGAATTTTTTTTTCTAATTCCATGAAAAGTCATGTTGGTAAATAGATAGGAATAGTGTTGAGTCTGTAGATTGTTTTGAGCAGTATGGACATTTTAATGATATTAATTCTTCCAATCCATGAATATAGAATGCTTTTCTATTTGTTTGTGTCATCTACAATATCTACCTCTTACATCAACATCCACCGTAGGAAAACACTACTAACCTTCTGTCACCACATAGCAGGGTTGTCTTTTTTTGAGTTCCATATAAATGGAATTATACAGTATATATTGTTTTCTGTCTGAGGTATTTCCTTCAGCATAATGATTTAATCTTGTAGTTCAAGACTTATTTATCAGTAGTTCATGACTTATTATTGCTGAGTAGTATACAAATGTATAGATATGTCACAGTTTGCTTATTTTTTCACTTGTTCATGGACTTGTTTTTCTATCTTTTGGCTATTATGAATACCAAACATTAGGTGTCTTATGGCAAATATATATTTAACTTCATAGGAAATTGCCAAGCTATTTTCCAAAATAGGGGTACAATTTTACACTCTCACCAGCAATATGTCACTGTTTCAGTAGATTCATATTCTTTCCAGTACTTATCTGTATTTGCAGATCTACATATTGATTATGTAAAAATCTCAATGAATCTAAAAAGCAACTATTAGACCTAATAAGTAAACTTAGCAAGATTACAGAAACAAATATTTAATAATTATATTTTTATGTGATATGAGTAATAAATTGAAAAACTAAATAAAAATTAACTTTAATATTGATAAAAATAATAAAGTACTTAGGGATAATTGAACAAAGGATATTCAAGACCTCTATACTGAAAATTATAAAACACAGCAGATAGAAATTATAGAAGACTGAAATCAGTGGAGAAAAAGATCATGTTTGTGTGTTGAATGACTCAGTGTCATTAAGAGGTTCTTTCCAAATTGCTAGAGATTCAATCCAATCCTAATCATGATCTCAGCATGGTTTGTTGTTTTTGTTTTTATTTTTGGTAAATATTGACAAGGTGATTTAAAACTCTTTAACAAAATAGCAAGAAGTTGACCCAGCTAGGGATTAATATAAGAATTTATGATTGGCTTAATAATTTTAAAAATCAGTTAATTAGATTTCTGGTTTCAACTTCAACATGCAAAGAGCTTGGAAGTTGTTACTCCCATTCTTAAAACAATAAGATGTTGATCAGTCTTAAAATTAACAACTTTTCTTGGACCTATTAGAGAACTGAGATTTCAGTGAAAACCTACAGCCAGAAGCCTGAAGAGAAAAGCAAATCCAGATAATCACAGATAGTGCAGAAGCCACTAAAGCCATAAACTTACAGAAACACTCAAATAGTAACTTTTTTCAAATTGGTGGGTGCTGAATGTGGGACTAGCATGAGAATGAGAAACTGCTGGTTACTGAAATGTTCGGGAACCCCCAATACTTTTCCTTTTAGGGAACCCACCAGGTTCTCATGGTAGAGATCTGAGAAAGATTCCTTTATGACTCTGGCAGGGTGCTTATTCTTCCGAATAAGCATTGTAAAATATACTCAGAGCATTCTCCCTAACAAAAAAGTATTTTCCTGGAAAAAAGGCTTTACTAGAGCCTTATCCAAGGTAGGGGAAGGGCATTGCTCAACTTTAGCCACCTTGGCCTTCCTGTCTCATCAGATGGGGGCAAAAGGTGTTACAACTGGAGAAACACTTGTGAATGTCACAGCCCAGACACACAGACCCATTATATCAAGACTGAGATTTAATCATAAAATCATTGAGCATTTTCCTTCTCCCACATCTTACCATAACATGCTAACCAGTCTTCATATAATAACAAGTGCAGACTCTGTCTGAGGAGGAATATTTCAAGAAGTCCAAAGTCAAGAACAAAGGCACAAACGAAGACACTAGAGAAATTTGAAGTCTCTGGCATATATGGCTATAGCACACATCAAGTGCACTTACACAGATTAACGTAAATACTCTAAAGGTCATTTACCTCAGTTCCTATTAATCAATACAAACGTGTGGTTTTCAACAAAAAATTACAAGGCATTCCAAAGACCAGAAAAAATACAATCATCTAAACAGATACAGCAGTTAACAGAACCAGAGTCAGCAATAGCATAGATTATGGAATTGTTAGAAAAGGAATTTAAAATAACAATGAAACTATGTGAAAAGATTTAATGTAGAGATTAGACAAAATGTATACAGGTAAGCAACATGGAAGATGACTAATGAAAGCCTAGAGGTGGAAACTCTAAGATTCAAAAGGAAATTCTAGAAATCAAAAACACTGTACAGAAATAAATGACTTTGATGTACGTATCTATAGATTAGACTCAGACATAGAATGAGTCATTGAGTTTGAAGATAGATAAATAGAAACTTCTCAAATGGAAATGTAAAGAAGGAAGGCAATTGGGGGTGGGCTGGTGAATAGAATATCCAATAACTGTGTGACAGTTTCAAAAGGTGTAACATAGATGTGCGTTTGGACTACCAGAAGCAGAAGAAAGAGTGAGCAAAACAGAAGAACTATATTTGATCTTTGAAAGACATAATGTAGCAAACTCACATGAGGACAGATAGATAATCTGAATAGGCCTGTATCTATTGAAGAAATTAAACCAATTATTAGTAATCTTCCAAAACAGAAAGCACCAGGCCCACATGTGTTTACTGGTGAATTCTAACAAAACATTCAAGGAAAAAATTATATCAGTTCTCTGTAATCTCTTCTAGAAAATAGAAGCAGATGGAATATTTCCAGTTCATCCCTGGAGGATTAGCATTACCCAAGTATCAAATCCAGACAAAGACATTACCAGAAAGGAAAACTACAGACCAATATGTCTCATGAACATAAATGCAAAAATCATCTACAAAATATTAGCAAATCAAATCCAACAATGTACAAAAAGAATTATACACTATGACCAAGTGGGATTTATTCCAGTTATACAAGGCTCATTTAGCATTAAAAAAATTAATGTAAACCATCACACCAACAGGCTACAGAAAAAACAATTAAATGATTATATTAGTAGATGCAGAGTAAGCATTGCATTTGACAAAATCTCACACCCACACATGATAAAAACCCTCAACAAACTAGGAATGGAAGGGAACTTCTTCAACTTGATAAAGAACATCTACCAAGAACCTACAGCAACATTATACTTAATTGTAAGGAACTAGATGCTTACCTGCTAAGATCATGAACAAGGTAAGGATGTATCCCCAAGGATTTCTATTTAACATCTTAGTGGAAGTCCTAGCTGTAATACAGTAAGATCAGAAAAGCAAACAAAAGATATACAGATTGGGAAGGAAGAAATAACACTATCTTTGTTTGCAGATTACATGATTATGTAGCACATCCCACAGAATCAACAAAAACACTTCTGGAACTAACAAGTGATTTCAGCAAAGTTGCAGGATATGAGGTTAATATATGTAAGTCAGTTGCTTTCTTATATACCAGCAATGAACAATTAAAAACACAGTACCATTTACATTGGCATCTAAAATAACTGAAATACTTATATATAAATGTAACAAAATACATGTAAGATCTATATAACGAAAATCAGAAGACTGATGAAAGAAATCATAGAAGATCTAAATAAATGGGGGGGTGGTGAAGGTGATGGTTCATGGCTGTAATCACAACATTTTGGGAGGCTGAGGCAGGAGGATTTCTTGAGGCCAGGAGTTCAAGTCTGGCCCGGGGCAATGTTGTGAGACCCCAGTTTCTAAACAAAACCAAAAAAATAGCCATGTGTTGTGGCATGCACCCGCAGTCCTAACTACCCAGGAGGCTGAGTTGAGAGGATCACTTGAGCCCAGAAGTTCAAGGTTGCAGTGAGCCACGATCACGCCACTGCACTCCAGCCTGGGTGACAGAGGGAGGCCCTTTTTCAAATGAATGAATGAATGAATGAATGAAGAGATATTCCAGGTACATGGATAGCAATATTCAATATTGTCAAGATTGAGTTCTTTCCAACTTGATCTATAGATTCAATTTAGTCCCAGCAAGTTATTTTGTAGATAAGAGCAAAGTGATTCCAAAGTGTATATGGAATGGCAAAAGACCCAGAATAACCAACACAATCTTGAAGGAGAGCAGTTGGGAGACTGTCATTACTGGACTTCAAGTCTTATTATAAAGCTACAGTAATTAAGACAGTGTTGTACAGGTAAAAGAATAAATAAATAGATCAATGATACAAAATAGGTAACACCAAAATAGATCTGTATAAATACAATCAACTAATCTTTGACAAAGAAACAATGGCAATTCAGTGGGGGAAAGTATAGTCTTTGAAACAAGTGATGCTGGAACAACTGGACATCCATATACCAAAAAAAAAAAAAAAAAAAAAATGCAGACACAGTCCTTACATCTTTCACAAAAATCAACCCAAAATGGATCATAGGCTTAAATGTAAAACACAAAATTATAAAACTCTTAGAAGATAACAGAAGAAAACCTAGGTGATGTGGCTTTTGTAATAGCTTTTTAGGTACAATAGTAAGAAAAGAATCGGTAACTTGGATTTTATTAAAATAAGGCACAAAATGGCAGATAGGAGGCGGAACTAACTTGCAGCTACCACTTGGATGGACAGAACAGCATGTGGAGACCCACATCATGAACTTTTACTTCATGAATTACTGCAGGAACATACCAACAAAGACAAGAGAATCCACAGACCCTTTGAAGGAGGTGGATTGCTGCTGCAGGCTCTATGGGACAGCCAAGAAACCGTGAGCCTGCTTGCTTTCTCAGCTTAGAGGCTTGTAGCCTGGGGCAGATTCTCAGCCCTGCTCACCGGCTGCCGGGAAATAAACTCTGTGCTGTTGAGGGGGCACAGTGGGAGTGAAACTGGCCTTTCGGCTGCAGGCTGCCTGGGAACTGGGTCAGGCCTGTGGCTGCAGGCTTTTCCCCACTTCCCGGGTGACCTGTGGGATGCAGCAGAGGCAGCCGTAATCCCCCCGGAATGTATCTCCATTGGCCTGAAAACCACACCCCCATTCCTCACAGGAGCCACAGCAAGCCCTGCCCAAGGAGAGTCTGAGCTCAGACATGCCTAGCCCTGCCCCTCAACTGATGGTCTTTGTCTACCTACCCTAATTGAAGACAAACGACATAATGCCTTGGGAGCTGTATTGGCCTGCACACTACCTGAGAAACCTGAACACTTATCCAAAGGTGACCACAGGGCAAGCTTGTATCCTCCCTATACAACCGCAGCTGATGTGCTCTTGAAAGCCCCACCTCATGGCTGGAGGCCAACCAACACAAAACCAACACACTTACCAAAAATACAACCAAGGACCTTCACAGAGTCCACTTCACTCCCCTGCCATCTCCACTGGAGCAGGTCCTGGTATCCATGGCTTAGAGACCTGATAATGGATCACATCACAGGACTCTTTGCAGACACTCCCCACCCAGTACCAGCCCAGAGCCCAGTAGCTCCACTAGGTGATTAGATCTGGAAGAGAAATAACAATCGCACAGTTTGGCTCTCAGGAAGCTCCACCGCAGGAGAAAGTGGAGAGCACCACATTAAGGGATCACTCCATGGGACAAAAGAATCTGAACAGCAGCCCTTGAGTCCCAGATCTTCCCACTGACATAATCTACCCAAATGAGAAGAAACTGGAAACACAATTCCGGTAATATGACAAAACAAGGTTCTTTGACACCCCCAAAAGATCACACTAGCTCACCAGCAATGGATCCAAACCAAAACAAAACCTCTGAATTGCCAGAAAAAGAATTCAGAAGGTCGACTACTTAGCCAATCAAGGAGGCAACAGAGAAAGGTGAAGTCCAACTTAACGAAATAAGAAAAAATGATGCAGGATACAAATGGAAGAATCGCCAGTGAAATAGATAGCATAAATAAAAAACAATCACAACTTCTTGAAATGAAGAACACACTTAGAAAATTACAAAATGCACTGGAAAGGCTCGGCAATAATATTGAACAAGTAGAAGAAAGAACTTCAGAACTTGAAGACAGGACTTTTGATTTAATCCAATCCAACAAAGACAAAGAAAAAAGAAAAAAAATGCCTCCAAGACGTTTGGGATGTTAAATGGTCAAACCGAAAAATATTGGTGTTCCCCAGGAAGAGGAGAAATCTAAAAGTTTGGAAAACATATTTGAGGGAATAATCAAGGAAAAGTTCCCCAGCCTTGCTAGAGATCTAGACATCCAAATACGAGAAGCTCAAAGAACACCTGGGAAATTTATTGCAAAAAGATAATCACCTAGACACATAGTTATCGGTTATCTAAAATCATGATGAAGGAAATAATCTTAAGAGCTGTGAGGCAAAAGCATCAAGTAACCTATAAAGGAAAACCTATCAGATTAACAGCAGATTTCTCAGCAGAAACCATACAAGCTAGAAGGGATTGGTTCCTATCTTTAGTTTCCTTAAACAAAACAATTATCAGGCAAGAATTTTTTATCAGGTGAAACTAAGCTTCATAAATGAAGGGAAGATACAGTCTTTTTCAGACAAACAAATTCTGAGAGAATTTGCCACTACCAAGCCAGCACCACAAGAACTGCTAAAGGGAGTTCTAAATCTTGAAACAAATCCTTGAAATACACCAAAATAGAATCTACTTAAAGCATAAAACTCACAGTACCTATAAAACAATACAATGAAAAAAAAAAACCCAACAAAGTATTCAGGCAACAAATAGCACAATGAGTACAATAGTACCTTATATCTCAATGCTAACATTGAATGTAAATGGCCTAATTTCTCCACTTGAAAGATATAGAGTGGCAAAATGGATAAGAATTTACCAACCAAGTATCTGCTGTCTTTGAGAGACTCACCTTCCACATAAGGACTCACATAAACTTAAGATAAAGGGGTGGAAAAACATAGTCCATGCAACTGGACACCAGAAGCAAGCAGGAGTAGCTATTTTTTAATATCAGACAAAACAAAGTTTAAAGCAACAGCAGTTAAAAAAGAGGGGCATTGTATAATGATAAAAGGATTAGTCCAACAGGAAAATATGACAATCCTAAATATACAGGCAACCCACACTGGAGCTCCCAAATTTATAAAACAATTACTACTAGACCTAAGCAATGAGATAGACAGCAGAACAATAATAGTGTGGGACTTTAATACTCTACTGATAGTACTAGACAGGTCATCAAGTCGGAAAGTGAACAAAGAAACAATGGACTTAAACTATACCCTAGAACAAATGGATTTAATAGATATTTACAGAACATTCTACCCAACAACTGCAGAATATACCTTCCATTCATTAGCATATGGAACATTCTCCAAGAAAGACCATATCATAGGCCACAAAACAAGTCTCAACAAATTTAAGAAAATCGAAATTATAGCAAGTGCTCTCTCTATTATAGTGGAATATAACTGGAAATCATCTTCAAAAGGAACCCTCAAAACCATGCAAATAATGGAAATTAAATAACCTATTCCTGAATGATTGCTGGGTCAACAATGAAATCAAGAGGAAAATTTAAAATTCCTTGAACTGAACAATAGTAGTGACACAACCTATCAAATCTCCTGGAATACAGCAAAGCTGATGCTAAGAGGAAAGTTCATAGCATTAAATGCCTATATAAAAAAGTCTGAAAGAGCACAAATAGACAATCTAAGGTCACACCTCAAGAAACTAGAGAAACAAGAACAAACCAAACCAAACCCAAACCCAGCAGAAGAAAAGTCATAACCAATAACAGAGCAGAACTAAATGAAATTGAAACTAAAAAATATACAAAAGACAAATTAAACAAAAACTGGTACTTTGAAAAGATAAATAAAATTGATAGGCCATTAGCAAGATTAACCAAGAAAAGAAGAGAGAAGATCCAAATAAACCCCATTAGAAATGAAACAGGAGATATTACAACCAATACCACAGAAATACAAAAGATCGTTCAAAGCTACTATGAACACCTTTATGTGCATAAACTAGAAAACCTAGAGGAGATGGATAAAGTGCTGGAAATACACAAACCTCTTAGATTAAACCAGGAAGAAATAGAAACTCTAAACAGACTCTAAATAGTAACAAGCAGCAAGATTGAAATTGTAATTAAAAAGTTACCAACAACAACAAAAAAAGTCCAGGACCAGATGGATTAACAGCTGTATTCTATGAGACAATCAAATAAGAATCTGTACCAATGCTATTGACACTATTCTAAAAGATAAAAGAGGTAATCCTCTCTAAATCAAATCCTAATATCAAAACCAAGAAAGGACCTTAAATAAAAAGTAAACTATAGACTAATATCCCTGATTAACATAGATGCAAAAATCCTCAACAAAATACTAGCTAACCGAATCCAAGACCATATTAAAAATATAATCCACCATGATCAAGTGGGTTTCATACCAGGGATGCAGGCATAGTTTAGCATACACAAATCAATAAGTGTGATATACCACATAAATAGGATTAAAAACCAAATTCACATGATCATCTCAATAGACACAGAAAAGGCATTTGACAAAATCCAGCACCGCTTTATGATTAAAACCCTCAGTAAAATTGGCAGAGAAGGGACGTATCTTAAGGTAAAGCCATCTGTGACAAACCCACAGCCAACATTATACTGAATGGGGAAAAGTTGAAAGCATTCCCCCTGAGAACTGGAAAAAGATAAAGATACCCACTTTTACCACTTCTAGTCAACATAGTACTGGAAATCCTAGCCAGAGCAATTAGACAAGAGAAAGAAAGAAAGGGCATCCAAACTGGTAAAGAGGAAGTCAAACTGTTGCTGTTTGTGATGATTGTATACCTAGAAAACTCTAAAGACTCATCTAAAAAGCTCCTAGAACTGGTAAATAGATTCAGCAAAGTTTCAAGATACAAAAATAATGCACACAAATCAGTAGCTCTTCTATACACCAACAGTTACCAAGTTGAGAATGAAATCAAGCTCAATTCCTTTGACAATAGTTGCAAAAAAAAAAATACTTAGGAATATACTTAACCAAGGAGATTAAAGGCCTGTACAAGGAAAACTACAAAACACTGCTGAAAGAAATCAGATGATGCAAACAAATGGACACCCCTCCCATGCTCATGGATGGATAGAATCAGTATTGTGAAAATGACTATACTTCCAAAAGCAATCTACAAATTCAATGCAATTATCATCTAAATACCACCATCATTCTTCACAGAACTAGAAAATACAATCATAAAATTCATATGGAACCAAAAAAGAGCCCACCTAGCCAAAGCAAGACAAAGCAAAAAGAACAAATATGGAGGTATCACATTATCCCATTGCAAACTACACTACAAGGCTATGGTTACCAAAACAGTGGTATTGGTATAAAAATAGTTATGTAGACAAATGGAACAGGATAGAGAACCCAGAAATACAGCCAACTTATCTTTGACAAAGCAAACAAAAACATAAGATGAGGAAAGGACACCCTATTTAACAAATGGTGCTGGGATAATTGGCAAGCCAGGTGTATAAAAACGAAACTGGATTCTCTTCTCTCACTTTATACAAAAATCAGCTCAAGATGGATCAAAGACTTAAATCTAAGACCTGACACCATAAAAATTCTAGAAGTCTCACTCCGTCGCCCAGGCTGGAGTGCAGTGGTGCAATCTTGGCTCACTGCAAGCTCTGCCTCCCGGGTTCACGCCATTCTCCTACCTCAGCCTCCCAAGTAGCTGGGACTACAGGTGCCCACCACCACCCCCAGCTAATTTTTTTTTGTATTTTTAGTAGAGATGGAGTTTCACCGTGTTAGCCAGGATGGTCTCGATCTCCTGACCTTGTGATACGCCCGCCTTGGCCTCCCAAAGTGCTGGGATTACAGGCATGAGCCACCGTGCCTGGCCTAAAAATGTATTCTTAAACAAAAAATGAAAAATAAAAATTGCCCTGCGAAAGACACTCTTAAAGGAATCAAAAGAGAGGCCACAGACTTGGAGAAAATATTTGCAAAACATGTATCTAAAAAAGTATTGCTGTCCACAAGCTTAAAGAACTTTAAAAACTCAACAATAAGAAAACAACCTAATTTAAACATTGGTAAAATTTCTGAACAGATATCACCAAAGAGGCTATATGGATCACAAATAAGCATATGAAAATATGCTTTGCCTCATATGCCATTAGGGAATTAGGATGGGTCTAGAGTGGCTTTACTTTAGGAATTCTTTAGTCCTACCACTAAGGTAAAATCTTTTTGGGGTTACTACTGAATGCCTCTGGTTGAGCATTGAGATATCTCTACTCTTGGTGTTTGAAATTCAAATACCTTTCAGTGTTCTGTCAGCTCTCGGATACATTCAGCTCTGGAATTCAGGTAACTTCGAGTGCTATGTAAGCTGTCAAGTCTAAACATCTCTTGGGTTTCCACTTCTTTTCTGTGAAGCCCCATGCAGGTAAAATAAAAATATTACCATCAATAACATTTATAAACTCATTCTACCATTAATGTCATTTGTTAATTTAATTTGCAACACTCAAGTAGAAAACGTTAAGAGGTTGGAGAAAATTTTTCCTTCTCTACAACATCTATTCCATGATATATATCCCATAAATGTATAAACACAAGTATATAGATTTGATCCTTACAGAAATTAAAAGATAATAAAGACAACAAAAATAGTGCATAAAGCTTGAGCAATTGATTTAGAAAACCCTGGATTAGAATTCTACTTCTATCATGCCCTGGTTTTTTGATCATGAAAAATCACTTAATTTCTCAATGCTTAGAACAGTATCATTCTAATATTGTATATAACAGAATGTTAAAATGATAGTTTAAATTGAGGTCTCCAAAACTAGGTGGCAAATATTCCCCAAATTCCAAAGCAAGGCACTAAATCACCTTGGCAAGGCTTGAAGAGAAAATGAAAAAGTAATTTATGACTCTTAGGTAACCACCCAACTCAATTAATAAGAGAAGTTAGAGAGGCCAAGAGAGATGTTAGAGATTATAAATATTTCTTTAAAGGGAGTTTTGGTGGTTTTTAAGCCTCCCCTATTTTTGAAGAAGTAGGAAATGCTTCCCTATCTCCCTATGCTGGACCTAGTGAAAAGGAGTTTTCAAAATGATTCCTTGGACAGCTTAGGATGTACACAGTAGATTGAGGGAGTAGTTGGGATAGCAAGAAATACTATTGCTTATAACTCAACCCTATATGGTTTGCTCTTTTAAAGTATACATTATATATAAGTGGGTTTTCTCTAAATATAAATATTATAATGCAAATATTTTCTCTTGAATAATCAGATCTGAGCCTGAGTTCTCATATAGCAATTATCAGCTGAAGCTGAAGCATAGCTGCTTCTTTAAATTGTACAGACTTTCCAGTTTACTAAAGGTTTTACTGTTCCATATATTTCTTACACTTTATTCACTTAAGTTAATTTTTAACTGTCTAAATTTTGCAGGTATTTGAATTTCCAAAACCTGCTCTTGGCTCTCAAATTCCAATAGTTTCTGTAAACCGTGAACTGTTGACTCAGATATATTTTTACCTGGTACATGGGATTATATTAGTTGTCTTATCTGGCATTTAGGAATAAATTGCTTAATGAATAAACATCCTACTAAAACCAGCCTTACTGCCTCTGTTTTTGAATCCCTCTAGAGCATTACTTATATAAAGTAATTTTTAAAAGTATATCATTAAATTATATTATAATTATTTATATATTTATAATATATAAATTATATAAATTTATAAATATATCTATAATTTTATAAATTATATCAATATATCATAATGTATAATATATTAATGTTAATAATATATTAGTATTATCAATATATTATATATAAATATATTTATAATTTTATAAGTTATATATAATTATAATTAAATTATATTATAATTAAATTATATTTAATTCCCATGCTTAAAAGCCTTCAGTGACTTTTCATTACATCTAAAATAAAATTCAAATGTATCACCTTGATTTAAAGGTGTCTATATGATCAAGTACTTGCTTCTTCTCCAACCTCAATCACTGTGTTCCAAGCACCATTAACCTTTTACAGTTCTTTTAATAACTCAAGTTAATTCACAATTAAATGTCTTTGTTCTAGATCACCTGGATTATTGCCTGGTTAAATCTTTTATATTCATGCCTGAGCTTTAAAGTCACCTACTAACAGAGCCTTTCCTTAAGAGACAACCACAAAACACTCTTTATCACATATTCCTATTTTATTTTCATTATAACACATCACTAGCTTATATTTTCTCATTTTGCTTATTTGTTTGCTGTTGCTTCCCTTCAAGTAAAATATAGCAATATGAGAGCAAGGGCTTTTATGTCTTGTTCACTGATATATCCTCATATGTACAACAGTGCTCAATGGTTTGGCAGTTAGGTAATTTATGACCTTAGCTAATGTAGTTTCAGAGAAAAGATGGATGACAAAGTTTGATGAACATAGGGCAAAGACTGAATGCAAGTTGAATAAGCAGAGAAAGCATCCGTTAGTGATTCAAGAAATTTGACACTGAAAGAATAGGAATAAGAGAAAAGAGTAACTAAAAGAGGAAGAAAAAGTAAAATCAGGAAGAGGTGGCAGATATATAATATAGTTATATACATATGTAACAAACCTTCACGTTGTGCACATGTACCCTAAAACTTAAAGTATTATTAAAAAATATATATATATAGTTATATTTCTAGGTTGCACTACAAAAAGAGGTTATTCCAAGCAGCCCTCACTTCCATAAGTTTCTGCTTTTAGTCAGACAAGGGAAGCTCTGAGTAGACTTCTTTCTACATCTGTTGATTCTCAGTTGCCTTCAGCTCAAAATAATCCATATGCCAAAGTGGCATATATTGGTGTGGCATATTCTGATCCTCTTCAAAATGAATGTAAGTTTTTCTATTTATGTGTATATATGTATATATATATGTGTTTGTATATGTGTATGTGTGTTTATATATATGTATATATCCATTGGATTCCTAAATCCTATAAGCACATGATCAAAATATGTCTCATTCCATTTCAGAATACTTTTGAGAGCCATGTAAATCCAATGTGTTAATACATTCTGAAAGAGAGTACTCAAATTCATATAGTTAATCATGATTTAAGGAAATTAGTGTAAGAAAAGGAAAAAGTCACCCCCGTGGGATATCAGGGTCAAGAGGAACTGAAAGGTTAACTTAATAGCATCCATGTAGGGTAAGTCCTTTGAATCTTACAGTTTTGGAGATCAGAATCCCAAAATGAGTCTCACTTGGTTAATATCAATGTGTTGGAAGAGCTGCACTTCTTTCTGGAGGCTGTAGGGAAGAATTTGTTTTCCTTCCTTTTTCAGCTTCTAAAGGCTGCCTTTGTTCTTTGGCTCTTGGCCCCTTTCCATCCTCAAAGTCCACAGTGGTCAGTGGAGTCTATTTCATGTTGCATTACCCTGACACTAACTCCCTGTGTCTTTTTTTGTTTGTTTTTTTCACTTATAAGGACTCTTGTAGTTACGGTGAGCCCACCTGAATAATCCAAGATAATCTCCCCATCTCATGGTCAGCCAAACAGTGACCTTCATTCCATCTGCAACCTTAATTTCACCTTGTCATGTAACATAACATATTCAAAGGTTTCAGGGATCAGGACATGGACATCTTCAGGGCTGGTGCATTATTCTACCTACTACACTGATAGTCACCCTATATTTTATTCTTCACCTTTCCTTTCATATATCCTCAGCTCTCAGCTATTAGTTTGATTTTTTCTACTTTTCTCTATCACCATAACTTTTTGAGTACTCTGTAAACTGTCACTTGATTTATTTGGTGATATGCAATAGGGCCAGAAATAATCTGTTCTGGAAATAAAAATTCAGTCAGTTAAATTTCTTCAGAAATCACATACGCAATATACATTTGTTAAATAAATTAATTAATACAAGTATGTATTCAAAAATTGTATCTAAATTAATAGAAACATTAGAATTAATTTGTTTTCACAGCTGAATTATTTCAAAATCACTGACTACATTTTCATTAAGTTTAGAAGTATTAAGTGGATTGTTTGCTGTGTAATACATAGATTATTATGCTATTAATAAATAGAAATAATAACTTTTTCAGGCTATAGCAGAAATTTTTGCAGTATTTTCTTTTCTCTAGTTGATATTATTAGTAATGGAAAAATTAATTGGTACTCTATAACTTGCTTGATCAATGGCTGTAAGTTACTAGAATATCCTCAAAAACTTAGAAATTTTTATGTAGGTCTTCTTTCCTCAAAAATCATTGCAAGAGTCTTGTAGTGATTATATGATATTCAAAAGTAAAGCTATCCACTGCTGTGTGTTCCCAGGTTGTCCCTTACATTTTCTATAGTAGAAACATCAAAAATATTCTAAGGAGATCTTTTAGAAATATTGCTTCATTTATATTTACAGTCAGTTTTCAAAAATAAGATTATCATTTTCTTTGGAGATCTTGTATAAGCCATTGGAACCATCATTTTTTTCTGGTAGTAGCAAAGAAAATAAAAGAAAACCTACCAATAATTTAAATTTAAATAGTAATCAGTGCAGTGGCTATATCCTCACTTCTGTTACTTTGCTTCCTTCACTGAGCCAAAATTCCACATTCAGGTTCTGTTTTTGTACCACTTAATTCCTGACAACAACTGCCATATAAGTTGTGGTTCTTAATTGCTAACAATAGAAACTAGTTGGCTGATTGATTAGAAAGGGAGTTTATTCTCCCATTCACAATTGCTACAAAGAGAATAAAATACCTAGGAATACAACATACAAGGGATGTGAAGGACCTCTTCAAGACGAACTACAAACTACTGCTCAAGAAAATAAGAGAGGACACAAACAAATGGAAAAACATTTCATGCTCATGGATAGGAAGAATCAATATCGTGCAAATGGCCATACTGACCAAAGTAATTCATAGATTCAATGCTATCCCCGTCAAGCTACCACTGACTTTCTTCACAGAATTAGAAAATACTACTTTAAATTTCATATGGAACCAAAAAAGAGCCCATATAGCCAAGACAATCCTAAGCAAAAAGAACAAAGCTGGAGGCATCACGCTATGTGACTTCAAACTATACTACAAGGCTTACAGTAACCAAAACAGCATGGTACTGGTAACAAAACAGATATATAGACCAATGGAACACAACAGAGGCCTCAGAAATAACACCACACATCTACAACCATCTGATCTTTGACAAACCTGACAAAAACAAGAAATGGGGAAAGGATTCCCCATTTTATAAATGGTGTTGGGAAAACTGGCTAGCCATATGCAGAAAAGTGAAACTGGACCCTTTCCTTACACCTTATACAACAATTAATGCAAGATGGATTAAAGACTTAAACGTAAGACCTAAAACCATGAAAACCCTAGAGGAAAACCTAGGCAATACCATTCAGGACATAGGCATGGGCAAAGTCTTCGTGACTAGAATACCAAAAGCAATGGCAACAAAAGGCAAAATTGACAAATGGGATCTAATTAAACTAAAGAGATTCTGCACAGCAAAAGAAACTATCATCTGAGTGAACAGGTAAGCTACAGAATGGGAGAATTTTTTTTGAATCTATCCATCTGACAAAAGACTAATATGCAGAATCTACAAGGAACTTAAACAAATTTACAAGAAAAAAAAAACCCCATGAAAAAGTGGGCAAAGGATATGAACAGAGACTTCTCAAAAGAAGACATTTATGAGGCCCACATACATATGAAAAAAAGCTCATCATCGCTGGTCATTAGAGAAATGCAAATCAAAACTACAATGAGATACCATCTCATGCCAGTTACAATGGTGATTATTAAAAAGTCAGGAAACGACAGAAGCTGGAGAGGATGTGGAGAAATAGGAACACTTTTACACTGTTGGTGGGTGTGTAAATTAGTTCAACCATTGTGGAAGACAGTGTGATGATTCCTCAAGGATCTAGAACCAGAAATACTATATGACTCAGCAATCCCATTACTGGGTGTATACCCAAAGGATTATAAATCATGCTGCTATAAAGACACATGCACACATATGTTTATTGTGGCACTATTCACAATAGCAAAGACTCGGAACCAACCCAAATGCCCATCAGTGATAGGAGTGGATAAAGAAGATGTGGTGCATATATACCATGGAATATTATACAGCCATAGAAAAGGATGAGTTCATGTCCTTTGCAGGGACATGGATGAAGCTGGAAATTGTGATTCTCAGCAAACTAACACAGGAACAGAAAACCAAACACTGCATGTTCTCACTCAGAAGTGGGAGTTGAACAATGAGAACACATGGATACAGCATGGCGAACATCACACACCGGGGCATGTTGCGGGGTGTGGGACTAGGGGATGGATAACATTAGGAGAAATACCTAATGTAGATGATGGGTTGATGGGTGCAGCAAACCACCATGGCACGTGTATACCTATGTAACAAACCAGCACGTTCTGCACCTGTATCCCAGTACTTAAAGTATAAAAAACATATAAATTCCCAGAATTCCCAGGCCCCACCCTAGAACTACTGATCAGAAATTCTCAGTGTAGGGCTCAGCCATCTGTGTATTAACATGTCCTGTAGAAGATTTTGATGCATGATAAAGCTTGAGAATCAATATTTTAGGAAAATTCAATGGCTTTTTAAACCTGATCAATTAAAGCAATAGCTCCCCTCTCCTCAAAAAAGAAAGGGAGTTTATTAAATGGATATTGGGTAACTTACTGGGAGAGCTGGAAAAATGAGTTCAAGACAAGCTTCCAAGAGCAACATCGCAAACCATGCTATAGAAGTGACCTAATGTGGATGTATTGACACTCTTAAAACAAATTATGATCTCTTCTCCCACTGTATCTTTATTGCATGTGAGAATTACTCAGAGAAGGAAAAGGCTGAAAGATAAGCAGCAAGCAGTTCGTGAAACACCCCATAAACCACATGATTAAAACCCCATAAGGAATTTGAATATTATTCTCGTGGCAGGAGACTTTTAAACAGGAATGGCATTATGAGATTTTCATTGTAGAAAGATGACTGAGGATGCATTGTGGAAAATAGGTTGGAAGCAAGGTCAGAATACACAACAATAGGATGTTTATGTACATGTATGTGCATACATATATGTATATGTATATCCTATTGGCAACCAATAGGATGTATATGTATATATCTATGTATGTGTATATATTTCTATTTCTGTCTATTCATCAATCAATCAATCAACTATCTAGATTGTTTTAAGAAATTGGCTCACACAACTATGGAGGCTGGCAAATCCAAAATCTGTAGGGCAGGTTGGCAGGCTGGAGACCCAGGGATGATTGATGTTGCTGTCTTACATCTAAAGGCAGTCTGGAGTCAGAATTCTTTCTCAGGGAACTTGGTCTTATAAGGCCTTCAACAGAAGGCCAATCCATATTATGAAGGGTAACCTGCTGTATTCAAAATCTGCTGATTTAAATATTAATCACATAAAAAATATCTTCATAGCAAGATTTAGACTGGTATTTGGTCAAAAACTGGGTACCTAAGTGGACATAAAATTAACCACTACACAAGGAGACCAGTTAAGGAGTTGCAATGTGAAAGATTTGATAGTAGCATTAAGAATGGGCAAAAATAGATGTACTCAAGAGATGCTTCAAAGTAGAATTGACTAACATAATATGCTGAATTTGGAATAGAATAACAGATGATAGGCCTGACCATCATAGTGGAAGGTTTTGCCACTCACTGAGATAGGATACAGAAAAAGCAAAGCAGGATTTGGTAGGAAAGATAACCAGTTTGTTACGTGCTAAGTATAAGATTTTTGTGGTACATGCAAGTAGAGTGATCTACTGAGTATTTAGATACATTTTCTGAAATTTGGGGAAGAATTCTGAGCTGCAGATAAAGATTTTGGAATCATAAACATATAATGGTAATTGAAGGCTGAGATGGCCCAGGAGGAGTGAGTAAGGTATGAAAAGAAGTAGGTCTAGAAAAGAATGTAGGAAAATATATAAGCAGTAGAGAAAAATAATTTCCCAAGGGAACTTTAGAAGTGATGGGCAAAAAAAAAAAAGAAATTGGAGAGTCTTGTTATTATAAAAAGCCAAAGGAAGAAGAATGTATCATGAAGAAAGGTTTGATTATAAAGTCAAATATTGCAATAGGGATCAAATTAGAGAAAGACTGAAAAGTGATCATTGAATTTAGCTACTAGAAAGTTGTTATTCGTGACCTTATTAGCCACTAGGTAATAAATTCATGTGTTTTTCATAAAAACCCTAGAAGAAAACCTAGGCATTACCATTCAGGACATAGGCACGGGCAAGGACTTCATGTCCAAAACACCAAAAGCAATGGCAACAAAAGCCAAAATTGACAAATGGGATCTAATTAAACTAAAGAGCTTCTGCACAGCAAAAGAAACTACCATCAGAGTGAACAGGCAACCTACAACATGGGAGAAAATTTTCGCAACCTACTCATCTGACAAAGGGCTAATATCCAGAATCTACAATGAACTCAAACAAATTTACAAGAAAAAAACAAACAACCCCATCAAAAAGTGGGCGAAGGACATGAACAGACACTTCTCAAAAGAAGACATTTATGCAGCCAAAAAACACATGAAAAAATGCTCATCATCACTGGCCATCAGAGAAATGCAAATCAAAACCACTATGAGATATCATCTCACATCAGTTAGAATGGCAATCATTAAAAAGTCAGGAAACAACAGGTGCTGGAGAGGATGTGGAGAAATAGGAACACTTTTACACTGTTGGTGGGACTGTAAACTAGTTCAACCATTGTGGAAGTCAGTGTGGCGATTCCTCAGGGATCTAGAACTAGAAATACCATTTGACCCAGCCATCCCATTACTGGGTATATACCCAAATGACTATAAATCATGCTGCTATAAAGACACATGCACACGTATGTTTATTGCGGCATTATTCACAATAGCAAAGACTTGGAACCAACCCAAATGTCCAACAATGATAGACTGGATTAAAAAATGTGGCACATATACACCATGGAATACTATGCAGCCATAAAAAATGATGAGTTCATGTCCTTTGTAGGGACATGGATGAAATTGGAAACCATCATTCTCAGTAAACTATCGCAAGAACAAAAAACCAAACACCGCATATTCTCACTCATAGGTGGGAATTGAACAATGAGATCACATGGACACAGGAAGGGGAATATCACACTCTGGGGACTGTGGTGGGGTCGGGGGAGGGGGGAGGGATAGCATTGGGAGATATACCTAATGCTAGATGACACGTTAGTGGGTGCAGTGCACCAGCATGGCACATGTATACATATGTAACTAACCTGCACAATGTGAACATGTACCCTAAAACTTAAAGTACAATTAAAAAAAAAAAAAACATTAAAAAATAAATAAATAAATAAATTCGTGTGTTTTTTATGGTATATTTACCCACTTGGTGTTAAACCAATACATTACCAAGTAGTCTGTAATTGTATTTGTAATTTTAGCATTAACTGCTATATATTCTTATAAGTAAGAACTTTTTTTAATAATTGAAAGATAAATTATAGTGTTTTATATAAAATTATATACTTTGAGTTTTGTGAACATTTGTTATAATTATATAAACTAAATGTCACAGCTGAAAAGTATCAAGCAGCCTGTGAAAACATGAATTAAACTGATTAATACATTACTGCTTTAAGAAATACTTAAAAGATCTTGAAATATTTTAACTCTTATTAAAAATAGTATTTTCTCATGCCATTTCTATGTTTTTAAAAATTGATTCTATGCAAGTCTTTTGGATAGTAACTACTAAAATAGCACTAGGAAACTAAGCTTTGGATATTATTTTAAAATGAGCATCTATAATATGCCACTCTCTAGGTAGCAAATGGAGGTTAGTGATATAAACAAAACATAAAACCATTGTTTTCTTTATTTTTTTCTGAAATTTATATACATTTAAGGGGTACAATTGCAGTTTTGTTGCATGAATATACTACATAGTGGTGAATTCTGAGTTCTTAGTGTAACCATTACCCAAATAATATACCTTATACCCATTAAGTAATTTCTCATCCCTCATCCTCCTCCTTCCCACCTTTCTGAGTGTCCAATGTCTATTATTTCACACTTTATGTCCATGTGGACACGTTATTTAACTCCCATCTATAAGTGAGACTGTAATATTTCACAGTTTCTGAGTTGATCTAACTTAGGATAATGGCCTCTAATTCCATTTATGTTGCTGCAAAAGATATGATTTCATTTTCTATGGCTGAATAGTATTCCATTATATATCTCTCTATATAGCTGTACCTATATCATCTATCTATCTATCTATCTATCATCTATCTATCCATCCATCCATCCATCCATCTATCTATGTATCTATCTAGCTCACATTTTCTTTATCGAACCATCCATTAATGGACACTTAGATTGATTCCATGTATCTGCTATTGCGAATAGTGCTGCAATAAACTTATAAGTGGAATTATCTTTTTGGTATAATGATTTCTTCTCCTTTGGGTAGATACCTAATATTGGGATTGCTGGATTGAATAGTAGTTATATTTTTAGTTCTTTGAGAAATATCCACACTATTTTCCACAGAGTTTGTACTAGTTTATTTTCCCACCAACAATGTGTAAGTGTTCCCTTTCCTCCACATCCTTGCCAACATGTTATTTTTTGACTTTCTAATAATAGTCATTCTGACATAAGATGATATCTCATTGTGGTTTTAATTTGTATTTCTCTAATGAATAGTGTTGTAGAGCATTTTTTATATACTTGTTGGCAATTTGTAGGTCTTTGTTTGGAAAAAATGCCTGTTCATGTCCTTTGCCTGTTTTTTAATGGGGTTATTTGTTTTACTGTTGTTGAGTTGTTTGAGTTCTTTGTAGATTTTGGATGTCAGTCCCCAGAATAGTTTGCACGTATTTTCTCCCATTCTGCAGGTTGGCTATTCGTTCTGTTGATTGTTTCCTTTGTTGTCAGAAGGTTTTATTTTAATTAAGCCCCACTTGCCTATTTTTGTTTTTGTTGCTTGTGCTTTTGAGGTCTTAATAATGAATCCTTTGCCTAGGCCAATGTCCAGAAGAGTTTTCTCAAGTTTTCTTCTAGTAGTTCTATAGTTTGAGGTCATACATTTAAGTCTTTACTCCATCTTGAGTTGGTTTTTGTATATAGTGAGAGATAGGGGTCCAGTTTCATGTTTCTGCATATGACAATCCAATTTTCCCAGCACCATTTATTGAAAAGGATGTCCTTTCCCAGTGTATGTTTTCATTGACTTTATTAAGTATCAGTTGGGTGTAGATATGTGGCTTTATTTCTGGGTTCTCGATTCTGTTCTATTGAGATATGTGTCTATTTTTATATCAATATGCTGTTTGGGTTACTGTAGCTTTGTAGTGTAATGTGAGGCTGGGCAATGTTATGTCTTCAGCTTTGTTCTTTCTGCTTAAGATTGCTTTGGCTATTCTGGCACTTTTATTGGTTCCATATGAATTTTAAGATTTTTTCTAATTCTGTGAAAAATGACATTAGTATTTTGATAGAAATTGCATTGAATCTGTAGATTGCTTTGGGAAGTATTGTCATTTTAATGAATCTAGATCAATTTAGGGAAAGTTGCCATCTTAACAATATTGAGTCTTGAACATCTTCATTTATTTTGGTCTTTAATTTCTCTTTGTAATATTTTATAGCTTTCAGTGAACAGGTCTTAAAACATCTTTTGTTAAACTTATTCCAAAGTATTTCTTGGTGCTGTTTTAAATGAATTTTTCTTAATATATAATTGGTCTTTGCTAGTAGATAGAATTACAATTTATTTAAAAATTTGGGGGCTGGGCATGGTGGCTCACAACTGTAATCCAGCACTTTGGGCGGCTGAGGTGGGCAGATCACTTGAGGTCAGGAGTTTGAGACCAGCCTAGCCAACATGGTGAAATCCCATCTCTACTAAAACTGCAAAGATTAGCTGGGCACGGTTGTGGGCTCCTGTAATCCCACTTACTTGGGAAGCTGAGGCAGGAGAATCGCTTGAACCCAGGAGGCAGAGGTTGCAGTGAGCTGATATTGAGCCACTGTACTCCAGCCTGGGCAACACGAGTGAGACTCCATCTTAAAAAAAATTGATTTTGCATTCTACAACCTTATTATTTGTTTCAGTAATATTTTATGGCTTTCTTATGGTTTTCCTATATAAATTTGATGTTTTCTGCAAATAGAGTTGTCTTCCTTTCCAGCCTGCATGCTTTTTATTTTTCTCACCTTAATGCACTTGATAGTACTTCTAGTATCTAGCATGATAGTAAATAGAAATAATGATAGATGATTCTTGCTTTATTCATTATCCTAGGTAGAAAGTATTGTTCCTCTTGCTGTTAAGAATAATGTACAAATTTTCCTTAAATGAACTTAATCAGATTGAGGAAGTTCACTTTTCCTAGTTTACTGGGAGATTTTATTAAGAAAGCATCTTAAACTTTGTCAAATGCTTTTTCTGTATCTATCAAAATGATTGGTTTTGTTTTCAGTTGATAGGATGACTTACATTGATTGATTTTTTTTTTTTTTTTTTTTATTATACTCTAAGTTTTAGGGTACATGTGCACATTGTGCAGGTTAGTTACATATGTATTTTTAAATGTTCAACCAACATTGCATTCCTGGCATAAATCCCACTGGTTATATTATATAATTCTTTAAAAAATTTTAAAAATATATATTTTTTAGAGATGAGGTCTTTCTCTGTCACCCAGGCTTGAGTTCAGTGGCATGGTCATAGCTCACTAAAGCCTCAAACTCCTGGGCTCAGGCAATCCTCCCACTTAAGCCTGCTGAGTAGCTGGGACTACCAGCACACATTATCATGCACAGCTAATTTTTCAAAAATCTTATCTGTAGAGATGGGGGTCTCACTATGTTGGCCAGGCTTGTCTTGAACTCCTGGCTTCAAGCAATCATTCTGCTTTGGCTTCCGAAAGTATTGGGATTCCAGAAGTGAGCCACCACACCTGGTTTTTTTTTTTTCTGTCTTTTTCTTTTCTTTTTTTTTTGAAAGGCTCTACTCTGTCATCCAGATGGGAGTGCAGAGGTGTGATTATAGCTCACTATAACCTTAAATTTCTGGACTTAAGCAATCTTCTTGCCTCACCGTCCTTACTATCTGGGATCACAGGTATGTGCCACTGAACCCAGCTAATTTTATTATCTTTTAAAGTTTTGTAGAGATGAGATCTTGCTATGTTGCCCAGGCTGGTCTTGAAATCCTGGCCTCAAATGATCCTCCTGCCTTGGCCTTATGAAGCACTATAGTCTTTTTATATGTTGTTGTATTAAATTTGCCAACATTTTTTATTGGTATTTTTTGAATCTATATTCATGAGAGATATTAGTCTGAAGTTTTCTTGTTTTATGATATAGTTTGTCATGATTTGGTATTAGAGTAAAAGTATTTTTATAGAATGAGTCAGAAAATCTTTCTTCCTCTCAATTTTTCTGCAGGAATTTTATAGAATTGGCATTATTTTTTCCTCTAAATGTGTCATAGATTTTATTTTATAAGTAATGGTATCTTGACCTGGAGTTTTCTTTGAGGAAATAATTTTAATTAGAATTCAGTTTCATTAATTTGTATAGTGCTGTTAAATTTCCTACTTCTCCTTGTGTAATTTATGTCTTTCTGGGAATTTGTCCATTTCATTTAGATTGTCAAATTTATTGGCATAATTTTTTAAATAATATTTGTTTGTTGTCTTTTTAATTTCTAAAGTTTTTATGGTAATATTCCTTTCCTTATAAAAGGAAATGTGTGTACTTTCTTTTTACCTTGATCACTCTGGCGGAAGGTTTATTAATTTCATTGAATTTTTCAAACTAGGTTTTGGTTTCACTTTTTTTAAATTGTTGATCTGTTTCTATTTTATTGATTTATCTGATCATCTTTATTATTGTTCTCCTTTTTTCTGGTTTTGAAATTAATTTGCTCTTCTTTTTCTACCTTCTTAAGATGAAAGCTTACATAATTTAAGATCTTTTTCTTTGCTAATATAGGTAATAAAAGCTCTAAATTTTTCTCAAAGTGCTGCTTTAGCTGCATCTCACACCTTTGATATATTTTTATTAGTTTATTAAATTATCTACTGTTTTTTATCAATGCTTATTTAGTAGTTTATAATTTAATTTTCAAACATTTGGAGGGTTTTCTGGATGTTATTAATTTCAAATTCAATTGTGGTCAGAAACTATACTCTTTATGATTTCAATACTTTTAAATGCTTTGATACTTGTTTTATAGTTCGAAATATTTTATCTCTTAGTAATTGTTTCTTTTATATTTCAAAAGTATATTTATTCTGCTCTTTTTGGGTTGTGTGTTTTATAAATGCCAATTGGGACAAGTTGGTTGATAGCCTTTTACTTATGTCTTCTTCATTTTTACTGATTTTGTCTTATATTAGTTATCGAGAAAGGGGTGCTAAAAACTCGAACTATAATTGTGAATTCATCTGTTTCTCTTTGTGGTTCTATCAATTTTGTATTATGTATTTTAAGCTCTGTAATTAGGTGTATAATTTAGGATTTTTATGTTTTTTTAATAATTTAACCCATTTATTATTATGAAGTGACCACCTTTAACCCCGGTAATGTTCTGTATTCTGAAATCAACTTTACTGTATATTAATATATCTTTCCACCTATATCTTAATTAATGTTAGCATGGTGTATAATTTTCTATGTTTTAACTTTTAACCTATTTGTATATATTAACCTATTTGTATATATTTAAAGGAGGTTTCTGTACAAAGCATATACTTAGGTCTGCATTTTTGTCTTTTCTCACAATCACTGCATTTTAAATGGGGTGTTTACACTGTTTGCATTTAGTGTGGTATTGGTATAGCTGGGTATAAATCTACCATCTTGCTCTTTGTTTTCTATTTATCTTACTAGTTCTTAGCTCCCCCCAACAATATTCTGCGTTATTTTTTGTTAAACTTTTTAATGATTTCATTTTGTCTCCTTCGTTGGCTAATTAGCTGTAATCTTCTTGCTGATTGCCTTATGGTTTATATTAATAGTGTGCAGCTGTACCTTATATAAATTTACCTTCAATTAATGTTATACTACTTTATGAATGGTATAATAGTAAAGTTTCTATTTCCCCTCCTATTGGCCTTTGTGTTATTGTTAATATCATTTTACTTCTACATACGTTATAAACCACAAATGTACTATTATTATTTTTGCTTTAAACAGTAAATTATTTTTTAAAGATAACTTGTATTTTATATTTACCCATATATTTATCATTTTAAATGTTCTTTTTTCCTTTTTGTATATCCAGATACTATTTGATATCATTTCCCTTTTGCCTGAAGACCCTCTTTCACATTCCTTTTAGTGCAGGTCTGTTCATGATGAATTATTTCAGTTTTATGTGTCTGAAAAGTGTCTTCATTTCAGTTTCATTTGTGAAGAAAACTTAATTTTGGTCATTATTTAAAAAAAATTTTATCTCTTCTCTCCCTCCTCTTTCTCTTTTTTATTACTCAAATTACAACTAATTAGGCCATTTGACATTGACCCACAGTTCAATGGTGTGCTGTTCTTTCTCTACCCCTCAGTGATTTTTTTCTCTGTGTTATATTTTGGGTAGTTTTTATTGACATATTTTCAAGTTCACTAATCCTCAATGAATTTTTTTAAAAAAATCTCTAGATATTCTATTTGAGATAGATAGGTAGATAGATGGATGGATAGATAGATCTATCTTCTGTATATCTACTTAACATGCTCAATCTCTCTACCTTCTTCAACATATGCAGTGTAGTATAATAAATGTTTTACTATCTCTGTCTATTATTTCTATCCTGTTTTATTTCTGGGTCTCTTTCTATTGATATTTCTCCTTGTTACAAGTTATATTTTTTTACTTCTCTGCAGTGAATGCCATACCTCTTGAATTTTACGTTTTTGAGTGCTAAAGGTTTTCGTATTTCTATAATTATCCTTGATCTTTGTTTAGTATGCAGTTAAGCTATGTGGAACAGTTTGATCCTTTTGTAACCTGGTTTTAAGTACTGCTAAGCAGAACCAGAGCAGTCTTTATCTTAGGGAGGAATTTTTCCTCATACTGAGGTAATATTCTCTGAGTACTTTGTATGTGAATTCTGAGGGTTTGCACTTTTGTTGGTGGGAACATGAAAAATTCTTGCCTCAACATAAACTTTATTTTTGGTTTGTTTTCTTGATTTATTCTTCAAGAAGGATGCTTTTTCTTCTTGGTTTGTTCTTTCCTCAGTCTCAGATAGTTTCTTCAAACTTATTCCTTCCTTAGTACTTAGCTAAAGATTTGAGGAAGACCCTTCTGCAAATCTCTAGAGCTCTTTTTGTGTGTCACATTTTCTTCTTTGCTACTCAACCCTATGAACTCTAGTTGTCCCTGGCCTCCCTAGACTGTTAATTCTGTCTCCCCATTCAGTAGGCCTGCTAGATTTTATCTGGGTTCCCCTTCCTTGTGTTGGAGCCTTGAAATTCTCTCTAGGCAGTAAACTGGGGCTATCATAAGCCTCGCCTTATATATTTTCTCTCTTTCAGGGATCATTGTCATTTCCTACCTGATATGCAGTGTCTTAAAATTTGTTACATACATTTTGTACAGATTTTTAATTGTTTTATGTGGTGAATAAATCTGGCCCACATTCCTCATTATGACCGTAAGTGGAGACTCTCATCTAATTTGTATCTTTATGCAAGCAAACAAATGATAAGTAAATATACATATATATCAGATCATTTGGTATAGAATATGTAAGTAAATTTTGTTATATGGTGTTTTCTCATTCTTTTTTTTTTACCTTCATTCCTCCTCCTTCCTTTTTTTTCTCTCTCTCTTACTTATATGTTATGTAGCATATGTAGATGACTTGTTACCATTTATTTTCCAGTTTTCTCGTTTTTTTACCTTATCATGTTTTTCTGTGTAGATGTTTTATACTTTTATTTAGTCAGATATATCAGTCTATTTCTTTATGATCTCTGAGTTTTAAATTATGCTTAGAAGATTTTTTATATGTCAAGATTATCAACATATTTACCTGTGTCTTTTAAGTCTCATCTTATGATTTAATTATATGAAGTTATTGACTCACTTTGAATTTATTGTGGTGAAAATAGTGTTTAATCAATTAAAAAATCTTAAATGAAATGAGGTGTATCTAGATTCCCAATTCTTGTTTAACTTCATGGAAAAAGCTGCCATCTTTCAAATTCCTTATTGTCATTCTTTTTTTCAAATTGTTGGAGTATTAAACATCTGAGGTATACAATTTAATTTACATCTACTAAGAGTAAGATTTTTCAACTATTTATAAAAATAAGGGAAACCAAATAGCAAAACATCTGTTGATCAATAAGTTAGTTTCTTTGCTCATTAATATTGGTGCTAATTAAAATGTTAGAATCCTTGACTTTTATTATATTAGACTCGGGAGACCTGGTGTTGATTGCTATTGCCAACATGAAAGTGGTGCAGCTGTCCTACAGCTCCAATTTTTGATCAATGAGGTAAGGATTATTTTTTGACTACTTAAATCACACACTCCCCCACTACACAGTGAATCAGTTAATGTAATCTTTTAAATACTGTGATTCTAAATGCTTAAATATATATGCATGCAATATTACTTCTGATTATATTTTTCACAAAAGACTGTACTCCTGTATTGGTTAATTTATTAAATTTTAAAGAAAAAAGATTGTATATGCCATATTCTGTTATTGTTACTATATAGCATAATTTAGTTTAATTATTTAAATTAAGAAAAAATCCTAATGTCTTTTGATTGCTTCACTGGCCATTAATTTTTTTTCTATACACTCACTTCCCACCAACTTAAATTTTGTAATTAAGGCCTAACTTCATATTTTATCTTTATCTTCCCTGAAATGATCCTTTTGCTTATATACGTATGGGCCCTTTTATCTGCATATATCTCCAAATACATTTGTTGGAATAGATATGCATTTGTAGTTATTTTTGTGTCCGTAGTTATTATGGAAATTAGCTTTCTACTGTATCTACATTTTTATAAAATTATGGTGATGAGGAACTCTCTAAAAACAAAATATGTATTTATGAAGCTCAGAGAGGTTGCAGATATTCCATTAGTAGAAGGCTACTTTAGGCTTTCTTAAATCAGATTTTTATAGTGGAAATTAGAGTCTTCTAGAGCTTCTTTTATATTAAGTGAGCCAGTCAATGCAAAAATGCTTTAAAAGTTTGTGCCATGCCAAATGCAGGCACTTAGAAGATTGAACTCAGTGTCTCGGAAAAAAATGTTTGGTTATTTTCTCATGGCATGACAATGATCTTTCATTCAGTGTCTGCATATATTTGCATATATCTATATCTGTTTATCTTCCTAAGAACTTACAATTATAAGTGTGGGTAAAATGTCTCATAGAACTTCATATCAGAGGTAACCCAAGGCAAGAAAGATATTGGCAAATGTTCACTTTTCACTTCTCTTGGCTCAAAGTCTTTCTCAGAGGACTATGAGATCCTCTTTATTGACAAACGTAGCATATTTCACCATGTAGGCACACTTGCTATGGGGTACTGAAATGAGAAAGGAAGGTAAAGAAAACATTTGAAAAATATTTCATTGTAATAACTGCTCATTATTATCTAGAATGTCAGGCTTCTCGAGGTCTCAGTGATACTCTGTAGTTCCTTGTTGAGGGATCTCAGCTTTTTGCCTTCTGCATGGATGTATACTTACAGGCATAATTTGTTTCCATGTGATTTGTACTGGGTCTGATCCTTTGAGACTTGTCTTCCAGGTCCTAAGTTTGCCCCTGTGGTACATAACTAAGAATAAATAAAGACAAGCCTTCAACCTCCTTGCCTTGTTCACCTCATTTATCCTGAACTACTCGCCCTATGTACCTCACACAAAGCTGCTGTATCTTTTCCCAAACTTCCCAGTTTCTGACCTGACTGGTTTTTCTATTCTTAGTTTTAAGCATTTTCACAGATCTTTATAGTGCTTTTGGTAGGTTCACTTTGTTTTTATAAATGAACCTAGACACTGTGGTGTTCTGCTTACTTTCATGTGTCTGTCTCTGTTGGTGCTGTTATGCTTAGTGGTACCGTTCACTTCTCTCCGATGATAAGTCACATCTCAGTTTTATCACAGAATTAAGAATACTGGCCGGGCGCGGTGGCTCACGCCTGTAATCCTAGCACTTTGGGAAGTTAAGGTGGGTGGATCACGAGGTCAAGAGATCAAGACCATCCTGGCCAACATGGTGAAACCCCGTCTCTACTAAAATTACAAAAATTAGTTGGACGTGGTTGCACACACCTGTAGTCCCAGCTACTCAGGAGGCTGAGGCAGAAGAATTGCTTGAACTTGGGAGGCAGAGGTTGCAGTGAGCTAAGATCGCACCACTGCACTCCAGCCTGGCAACAGAGCGAGACTCCATCTCAAAAACAAACAAACAAACAAAAAAAGAATACTGAGTTCCTCACTAGAATTATTTAGGTATTACTGTAAGATATTATTGAATATATGCTACTTTAATAACATTGCCTTTGGCATGTTTTATCTTCTGTATAGCATGTAACTATCTCTTGTAGAGAATGTTTTATTGTTGTTACATATCATGTTCTATCCTCACCCCATCTCAGGTGAACTTCCACCTCTCTGAGAAATGAGACCAGTATACTGTATTCAAAAAAATCAAGTGTAACTCATCAAATGCTTCCAAGGAATCCTAATAAATTTCTCGTTTGTTTATAGGAAGCATAAGTACAGTATACAAATAAAACAGGCAAACAAACACAAAAATTATCAAGGCTTATATATAGAATACCTCCTATTTCATTGAAGGAAATTATCTGAGTTCATGTTAAGATGTATATATCAATATATACATCTTTGAACATGTATGTATGTAATTAGATATAAATGTGCAAATCATACAAATTTCTAAATATTTTCTTGGATATGATCTTTGATTATGTTTCTATTTTTATAAAGCCATTCCTCTCTGAGACTAAAATCACAGGTACCAAATATAAAGAGACCTATCATAGGATACATGAGCATTTTTTTGGCTTAGAAATTATTATAGAAGGGCATTTAGATTCCTATCTTCTCTCTTCTAATTCCTAAAGAAGAAATAAATGCTAGCAATTTCAATATCGTTCTTCCTAGCATCTAAATGGGATATCTGTGATTGATACTGTAAACTATGAGAGATTACTTCTAACAAAGTACTTTGGAAAATATAAAAAGCCTTTTAGGTATCTCTGGACAACCAAGGTTCTGAAAGATCACTCTTAGAGAACACATTTAATGCTCTGGATTTAGGATCTGTGAATGGGTAAGCATCGACATTTTCAGCTGGTTAGCTGTCATTATGGTAAAAGTTCTAACATTTTAAAATGATCTGATTTAACCCAGTCAAATAAATAGTTTAAGCATATATACAAAGTCATACAAACAGTTATTATCTGTCCACATGCTTTCTGCCACATTAAGAGGTAGAAAATATCCTATTGTATGCGAAATAGGATTCATTTGTATTTGGTGGTGCTGTATAAAAGGAATCTTAGTATAATTTTATAGTTATACTAAATTCTAGTTGGAGAAATGTTTTCTTTTATTATGGATATTTCCTTTATAATTGATGAAGCTTCTTGGACTATAAGAAGCAAATTAAATTATACCAAATATACTTTTTAGGAAGAATATACGCTTTCCAAATATACAGAAAATTCTTGCAAAGGAGAATTTTTATATGACCTGTATTCAATTTTGTAAGACTGCATTGAATATTTTCTTCTCTGTAAGGCTATATAGTATATGTGTAAACAGTAGAAACAAAAACCATCCCTAAACTATTTTTTCCCAAAGAAAAACCTTTAATGGCCATAACAGTGCTATAATAATTAATCCTCTCTATTGGTAAATAAATATTCCTTAAGCTAGTCTCCCTGACCGTTGAAATGCAGTGGGTCAGTTGCCTCTTCTACTTTCAGCATTCTTACCCTTCCTGATTGAAGTTTATGCACCTATCCTTCCTTATATTTCTGAGATAACAAAAGTAACTCTTCAGGTAGTAAACATTGAGTAAATTAGCTTGTTTGTGATTAAAAAAACCCTAAATTAAGTAAATCACACACTTACTTTATCTTCTTTTTGTTCTAGGGTGCCTTGGTCAGTGCAAGTTCAGATGATACACTTCATTTGTGGAACCTTAGACAAAAAAGGCCAGCCATACTCCATTCTCTTAAATTTAACCGGGAACGGTAAGAACCTATGAATTAAACAATTTCTTAATGTACAACAAAATTATTTCCTGAGCAAGTTTTTGTTAACTTGACAGGCTTTTTTCCTCATAATCTCAACAGCTAGAAATAATTTAATGTTTATGCTTACTTTCATAGTGTTTTCTTTTTTGTAGAAAATGCGTAATTGATATAGATCCAGTCACCTACTAATGCAGTGTTTATTAGCTTAAGGAGCTTTTGGGCTGAGATTATGGGGTTTTCTATGTGTAGACTCATATTATCTTCAAAGAGAGATAATTTGACTTCCTTTCTTCCTATTAATATTTACAGGCCTTTTATTTCTTTCTCTTGCATGATTGCTCTGCCTAGGACTTCCAGTCTATGTTGACTAGGAATGGTGAGAGATGGCATCCTTGTCTTGTTTTGGTTTTCAAGGGGAATGCTTCCAGGTTTTGCCCATTCAGTATGATGTTGGCTGTGAGTTTGTCATAGATGGCTCTTCTTATTTTGAAATATGTTCCTTTAATGTCTAGTTTGTTGAGGGGTTTTAACATGAAGGACATCGAATTGTACCAGAAGACTTTTCTGCATCTATTGAGATAGTCATGTGGTTTTTGTTTTCAGTTCTGTTTATGTAGTAGATCGCATTTATGTATTTGTGATTATTGAACCAACCTTGCATCCTGGGATAAAGCCTGCTTGAGTGTGGTTGATTAGCTTTTTCACGTGCTGCAGGATTCAGTTTGCTAGTATTTTGTTGAGAATTTTTACATCTGTGTTCATCAAGGATATTGGCCTGAAGATTTTTTTGTTGTATTTCTGCCAGGTTTTGGTATCAGGATGAAGCTGGCCTCATAGAATCAGTTGGAGAGGAGTTCCTCCTCCTCAATTTTTTGGAGTAGTTTCAGTTAGAATGGTACAAGCTATTCTTTATGCATCTGGTGGAATTTGGCTGTGAATCATTCTTGTCCTGGGTCCTTTATGGTTGGTAGGCTTTTTATTACTGATTTAATTTTGGAACTCTTTATTGGTCTGTCCAGGGATTCAATTTCTCCCTGGCTCAATCTTGGGAGTTTGTATGTTTCCAGGAATGTATTCATTTATTTTAGGTTTTCTAGTCTATGTGCATAGAGGTGTTCATAGCAGTCTCTGAGGGTTTTTTATATTTCTGTGGGGTTGGTGGTAATGTCTTTTTTGGCATTTATGATTGTTTATTTGGATCTTCTCTCTTTTTCTCTTTATTAGCCTAGCTAGTGGTCTATCATATTTCTTATGTCAAAAAACCAACTCTTGTACTCATTGATCTTTTGTATGGTTTTTTTGCCTCTTAGTTTCCTTCATTTCAGCTCTGATTTTAGTTATTTCTTGTCTTTTGCTAGCTTTGGGTTTGTTTTGTATTGTTTCTCTAGTTCCTCTAGGT
This sequence comes from Homo sapiens, assembly GCF_000001405.40. Lineage (NCBI taxonomy): Eukaryota > Metazoa > Chordata > Mammalia > Primates > Hominidae > Homo > Homo sapiens. Next base: position 121,046,938 of record NC_000003.12, read on the forward strand.
GTAATGTTAGGTTGCTAATTTGAGATTTTATGAATTTTTGATGTGGACCTTTAGCACTATAAACTTTCCTCTTAGCACTACTTTAGCTGTGTCCTAGAGATTCTGGTATGTTTTCTTGGTTCTCAGTAGTTCCAGAGAATTTCTTGATGTCTGCCATAATTTCATTGTTTACCCAAAAGTCATTCAGGACCAGGTTGTTTAATTTCCATCCAATTGTATGGTTTTGAGCGATTTTCTTAGTATTGATTTTTATTTTTATTGCATTATGGCCTGAGAGTGTGGTTGGTATGGTTTCATTTTTTTTAGATTTTCTGAGGATTGTTTTATGTCCAATTGTGTGGTTGATTTTAGAGTATGTGCTATGTACAGATAAGAAGATGGTATATTCTGTTCCTTTTGGGTAGGGCATTTTGTAGATGTCTAATAGTTCCATTTGGTGAAGTGTTAAGTTTAGATCCTGAAAATCTTTGTTAATTTTCTGACTGGATGGTCTATCTAAAAACTGTCAGTAGGGTGTTGAAGTCTCCCACTATTATTGTGTGGGAATCTAAGTCTCTTTGTAGGTCTCTAAGAACTCGCTTTATGAATCCGGGTACTCCTGTGTTGGGTGCATATATATTTAGGATAGTTAGGCATTCTTGTTGAATTGAACCCTTTACCATTACGTAATGTCCTTCCTTGTCTTTTTTGATCTTTGTTAGCTTAAAGTATGTTTTGTCTGAAATAACAACCCCTGCTTTTTTCTGACTGCCATTTGCTTGGTAGATTTTCCTCTATCCCTTTACTTTGAGCCTATGGGTGTCATTACATGTGAGATGGGTCTCTTGAAGACAGCATACCATTCAGTCCTGCTTCTTTATACAGCTTGCCACTCTGTGCCTTTTAATTGGAGCATTTAGCCAATTTACATTCAAGTTTAATATTTATGTGTGTGGATTTGATCCTTTCATCATGTTTCTAGCTGGCTATTGTGCATACTTGTTTGTGTGGTTGCTTTATAGGGTCAACAGTTTGTATACTTAAGTGTCTTTTTGTAGTAGCTTATAACAGTCTTTGCTTTCCATATTTAGCACTCCTTTCAGGACCTCTTGTAAGGCAGGTCTGGTGGTCATAAATTCCCTTAGCATTTGCTTATCGGGAAAGAATCTAATTTCTCCTAGGTTTATGAAGCTTAGTTTGGCTGGATATGAAATTCTTGCTTGGAAATTGTTTTATTTAGTAAGGCTGAATATAGACCCCCAATTTCTTCTGGCTTGTAAGGTTTCTATTGAAAGGTCCTCTGTTAGCCTGATGGGGTTTCCTTTGTAGGTGACATGCCCCTTCTCTCCAGTTGCCTTTCACTTTTTCCCTTTTCTTTCAGCCTTGGAGAATCTAATTATGTGTCTTGGCCATGGTCTTTTTGTGTAGTATCTCACGCTGGTTCTCTGCATTTCCTGAATTTGTATTTTGGCCTCTCTAGTGAGGCTGGGGACGTTTTCATGGGTGATATTCTGAAATATATTTTCCAAGTTGCTTGCTCTCTCCTTATCTCTTGCAGGGATACTAATGAATTGGAGATTTGGTCTCTTTACATAATCCTTTATTTTTTGAGTGTTTTGTTCATTTTCTTTCTCTGACTGAGTTAGTTCAGAGAACCAGTCATTGAGCTCTCAGATTCTTTCCTGAACTTGGTCTATTCTTCTGTTAATACTTGCAATTACATTATGAAATTCTTGTAGTGTGTTTTCCACTCTATCAGATCAGTTAGAGTCTTTTTTTTTTTTTTTAAGACAGAGTCTTGCTCTATTGCCCAGGCTGGAGTGCAGTGGCACAATCTTGGCTCACTGCAACCTCCGCCTCCCTGGTTTGAGCGATTATCCTGCCTCAGCCTCCTGAGTAGCTGGGACTACAGGTGCTGGGAGCCCAGGTCAAGAGGCACTGCCCAGTGAAGAGTAGTGGAGGCATGTGGACAAGTCTGGCTGCTTTTCCATAAAGTGGCTGTGTTGTGCTAGAGGTTTGTATCGGTCCCCAACCACTATATGTCCTCTCAATCCCAAGGGCAACAGGAGCAAGGGCTGCAGGGCAGCAAAAATGGTGGCCTGCTTGCTCCTTCTGTGAGCTCTGTCCCAGAAAAGCACAGAGCTGCTACTAGCCTGAGAGCCTAGGTAGGGGGTGGCTAGAGACCCCGGTAGGGAGACACTGCCCAGAGAACCATAGCAGGGTTGGGGACCCATGTAGAAAACAGTCTGCTGCTTTTCTGTAAGGTGGCTGCACTGTGCTAGGGGTTCATGGTAGTCCCTAATCACTGTGTACCCTCCTGATCTTGAGGGCATCAGTGGGGAAGGTTGTAGGGCAACAAACATGGTGGCCTGCCTTTCCCACTGAGAGCTCTGTCCCAGGGAAGTGGAGAGCTGGTAGTGGCCTAAGAGTCCAGTGTGGGGTGGTTGAGGTTCTAGGTCAGGAGGCCTTGCTCAGTGAGAAGTAGCAGGGGTGGGGGCTCCTGTGTAAAACAATCTGGCTACTTTTCCTTAAGGTGGCTGCCTTTTACTGAGTGTCTACGATTGCCCCTAATCACTGAGTACACTCCCCAGCCTGAGGGCAAACAGGAGGGAGGGTTGTGGATGTGGTCTGCCTCTCCCTCTAGAAGCTTGTCCCAGAAAAGCACAGAGCTGCTCCTGATCCGAGAATTCTGGTAGGGCTGTGGTGGTCTCACTAGTGTCCCAGGCCCATGGGTCTTATCCTGCAAGGTGCTGCAGAGACGAGGCCTGTAGCACCTTGCAGGATAAGGTCTACTGGGCCTAGTTACTCTTCAGCCACATGGATTCAGCCCCTTTCCTGGAGACGTGAGGGAGCCTGGCCTCCTCCATTGCTAGAGCTGCATCTGCTGGTGTTGAGGTGCCTGGGGATCCAGCACTCCTGGGAGTCTGTGAGTACCTGAGTGATGGCTCTGCCAAGACTCCACATAACTCTTTGCATGTTTGTCTGGAAGCCCTGGTTGCAGGGATCATGAGAAATCTCCTGATCCTGAGTCCAAGGATGCAAAGGTCCATGACAGAAGTGTGAATCCCTGGGGACTCTCACTCACTCACTGTTCCCTGTGATGTGAGGACTCCTCTGGCTCCATGCCACTTCTGGGTGGGCAATTGTCCTGTCTTGCTCTTCTCTGTTCACTGTGGGTGATGCTGTTTCCCTGATAAATCCCCATGTTTCCACCTGGATGTTCTGGTTGAAGAGCTAGTGTCCATTCACCACTGTTTCTTCTCTCCATGAGAGTGGTGCTTATTACCCACTTCTACTCAGCTATCTCACGCCAAATCTCTAAACTTAGTCTTTTTTTTTAAGAGGAAAGGAATTTATATTTTAGAAATTTGTTGAAACTAGATAGGACTTATTTCTTTAGTCCTAATTCTGGTTATTTTAGTTTAAAATAAGTAATGTAGCAGAAATTTCAAGGATATCAAAAAACTTTAAGATCAGTAAAGAGTTGTTCAGAAGAGAGTGGGGGCCAATATTCAACATTCTTAAAGAAAAGAATTTTCAACCCAGAATTTCATATCCAGCCAAACTAAGCTTCATAATTGAAGGAGAAATAAAATACTTTACAGACAAGCAAATGCTGAGAGATTTTGTCACCACCAGGCCTGCCCTAAAAGAGCTCCTGAAGGAAGCACTAAACATGGAAAGGAACAACCGGTACCAGCCACTGCAAAAATATGCCAAAATGTAAAGACCATCAAGGCTAGGAAGAAACTGCATCAACTAACGAGCAAAATAACCAGCTAACATCATAATGACAGGACCAAATACACACATAACAATATTAACTTTCAATATAAATGGACTAAATGCTCCAATTAAAAGACACAGACTGGCAAATTGGATAAAGAGTCAAGACCTATCAGTGTGCTGTATTCAGGAAACCCATCTCATGTGCAGAGACACACATAGGCTCAAAATAAAGGGATGGAGGAAGATCTACCAAGCAAATGGAAAACAAAAAAAAGCAGGGGTTGCAATCCTAGTCTCTGATAAAACAGACTTTAAACCAACAAAGATCAAAAGAGAAAAAGAAGGCCATTACATAATGGTAAAGGGATCAATTCAACAAGAAGAGCTAACTATCCTAAATATATATGCACCCAATACAGGAGCACCCAGATTCATAAAGGAAGTCCTGAGTGACCTACAAAGAGACTTAGACTCCCACACAATAATAATGGGAGACTTTAACACCCCACTGTCAACATTAGACAGATCAACGAGACAGAAAGTTAACAAGGATACCCAGGAATTGTACTCAGCTCTGCACCAAGCAGACCTAATAGACATCTACAGAACTCTCCACCCCAAATCAACAGAATATACATTTTTTTTCAGCACCACACCACACCTATTCCAAAATTGACCACATAGTTGGAAGTAAAGCTCTCCTCAGCAAATGTAAAAGAACAGAAATTATAACAAACTGTCTCTCAGACAACAGTGCAATCAAACTAGAAGTCAGGATTAAGAAACTCACTCAAAACCGCTCAACTACATGGAAACTGAACAACCTGCTCCTGAATGACTACTGGGTACGTGACGAAAAGAAGACAGAAATAAAGATGTTCTTTGAAACCAACGAAAACAAAGACACAACATACCAGAATCTCTGGGACACATTCAAAGCAGTGTGTAGAGGGAAATTTATAGCACTAAATGCCCACAAGAGAAAGCAGGAAAGATCCAAAATTCACACCCTAACATCAAAATTAATAGAACTAGAGAAGCAAGAGGAAACACATTCAAAAGCTAGCAGAAGGCAAGAAATAACTAAAATCAGAGCAGAACTGAAGGAAATAGAGACACAAAAAAACCCTTCAAAAAATTAATGAAGCCAGGAGCTGGTTTTTCAAAAAGATCAACAAAATTGATAGACCGCTAGCAAGACTAGTAAAGAAGAAAAGAGAGAAGAATCAAATAGATGCAATAAAAAATGATAAAGGGGATATCACCACCGATCCCACAGAAATACCATCAGAGAATATTACAAACACCTCTATGGAAATAAACTAGAAAATCTAGAAGAAATGGATAAATTCCTGGACACATACACCCTCCCAAGACTAAACCAGGGAGACGTTGAATATCTGAATAGACCAATAAGAGGTTCTGAAATTGTGGCAATAATCAATAGCTTACCAACCAAAAACAGTCCAGGACCAGATGGATTCACAACCGAATTCTACCCGAGGTACAAGGAGGAGCTGGTACCATTCCTTCTGAAACTATTCCAATCAATAGAAAAAGAGGGAATCCTCCCTAACTCATTTTATGAGGCCCGCATCATCCTGGCATCCAGGCTTTGATACCAAAGCCTGGCAGAGACATAACCAAAAAAGAGAATTTAAGACCAATATCCCTGATGAACATCGATGCAAAAATCCTCAATAAAATACTGGCAAACAGAATCCAGCAGCACATCAAAAAGCTTATCCACCATGATCAAGTGGGCTTCATCCCTGGGATGGAAGGCTGGTTCAATATACGCAAATCAATAAATGTAATCCAGCATATAAACAGAACCAAAGGCAAAAACCACATGATTATCTCAATAGATGCATAAAAGGCCTTTGACAAAATTCAACAACCCTTCATGCTAAAAACTCTCAACAAATTAGGTATTGATGGGACATATCTCAAAATAATAAGAGCTATCTATGACAAACCCACAGTCAATATCATATTGAATGGGCAAAAACTGGAAGCATTCCCTTTGAAAACTGGCACAAGACAGGGATGCCCTCTCTCACCACTCCTATTCAACATAGTGTTGGAAGTTCTGGCCAGGGCAATCAGGCAGGAGAAGGAAATAAAGGGTATTCAATTAGGAAAAGAGAAAGTCAAATTGTCCCTGTTTGCAGATGACATGATTGTGTATCTAGAAAACCCCATTGTCTCAGCCCAAAATCTCCTTAAGCTGATAAGCAACTTCAGCAAAGTCTCAGGATGCAAAATCAATGTACAAAAATCACAAGCATTCTTATACACAAATAACAGACAAACAGAGAGCCAAATCATGAGTGAACTCCCATTCACAATTGCTTCAAAGAGAATAAAATACCTTGGAATCCACCTTACAGGGACGTGAAGGACCTCTTCAAGGAGAACTACAAACCACTGCTCAAGGAAATAGAGGATACAAACAAATGGAAGAACATTCCATGCTCATGGGTAGGAAGAATCAATATCGTGAAAATGGCCATATTGCCCAAGATAATTTATAGATTCAATGCCATCCCCATCAAACTACCAATGGCTTTCTTCACAGAATTGGAAAAAACTACTTTAAAGTTCATATGGAGCCAAAAAAATCCCCCATTGCCAAGTCAATCCTAAGCCAAAAGAACAAAGTCGGAGGCATCACACTCCCTGATTTCAAACTATACTACAAGGCTACAGTAACCAAAACAGCATGGTACTGGTACCAAAACAGAGATATAGATCAATGGAACAGAACAGAGCCCTCAGAAATAATTCTGCATATCTACAACCATCTGATCTTTGCCAAACCTGACAAAAACAAGAAATGGGGAAAGGATTCCCTATTTAATAAATGGTGCTGGGAAAACTGGCTAGACATGTGTAGAAAGCTGAATTTGGATCCCTTACACCTTATACAAAAATTAATTCAAGATGGATTAAAGACTTAAATGTTAGACCTAAAACCATAAAAACCCTAGAAGAAAACCTAGGCAATACCATTCAGGACATAGGCATGGGCAAGGACTTCATGTCTAAAGCACCAAAAGCAATGACAACAAAAGCCAAAATTGACAAATGGCATCTAATTAAACTAAAGAGCTTCTGCACAGCAAAAGAAACTACCATCAGAGTGAACAGGCAACCTACAAAATGGGAGAAAATTTTCGCAACCTACTCATCTGACAAAGGGCTAATATCCAGAATCTACAATGAACTCAAACAAATTTACAAGAAAAAAAAACAAACAACCCCATCAAAAAGTGGGCAAAGGATATGAACAGACACTTCTCAAAAGAAGACATTTATGCAGCCAAAAGACACATGAAAAAATGCTCATCATCACTGGCCATCAGAGAAATGCAAATCAAAACCACAATGAGATACCATCTCACACCCGTTAGAATGGCAATCATTAAAAAGTCAGGAAACAACAGGTGCTGGAGAGGATGTGGAGAAATAGGAACACTTTTACACGGTTGGTGGGACTGTAATCTAGTTCAACCATTGTGGAAGTCAGTGTGGCGATTCCTCAGGGATCTAGAACTAGAAATACCATTTGACCCAGCCATCCCATTACTGGGTATATACCCAAAGGATTATAAATCATGCTGCTATAAAGACACATGTGCACGAATGTTTATTGTGGCACTATTCACAATAGCAAAGACTTGGAACCAACCCAAATGTCCAACAACGATAGACTGGATGAAGAAAATGTGGCACATATACACCATGGAATACTATGCAGCCATAAAAAGGATGAGTTCATGTCCTTTGTAGGGACATGGATTAAACTGGAAACCATCATCTCAGCAAACTATCACAAGGACAAGAAAGCAAACACCGCATGTTCTCATTCACAGGTGGGAATTGAACAATGAGAACACATGGACACAGGAAGGGGAACATCACACTCCAGGGCCTGTTGTGGGGTGGGGGGAGGGGGGAGGGATAGCATTAGGAGATATACCTAATGGTAAATGACGAGTTAATGGGTGCAGCACACCAACATGGCATATGTATACATATGTAACAAACCTGCACATTGTGCACATGTACCGTAAAACTTAAAGTATAATAATAATAAAATTTTAAAAAGAGTTGTTTTACTGTTTCTTTTTCTTTACCAGTAAAATATTAACCTATTTAGATCACCATATTGATTTTATCTTTCTCTCTGTTTGTAAGATTTTTCTTCTAATACTTTGAATAGATCTGACTGTATACTTTTATGTGGATGGACAGAGTGTTTTTATTTCCCCTCACAATTGGAATGTTGAAGGCAATGTTCTGGCCCCTTTTATGGACTTTTTGGGAGGAAGAATTGATTAGTGGTGATGATTTCCAATAGTGATTTTATTATCTCAACTGAGTTAGATTAATTGGTAGAAACATAAAAGAGCAAGCTGACAGATTTGAGATAAGTTTTAATCACAGGAAGTTTGAAAATGTTTTAATGCTTACATTAAAGATAAATGTGATATTTATCTCTTAAGAAAGATACATACATATTGTCATGTAACATGAGAATATTCATTATGATCATAACTTATTGGAGGAGATAAAATTATCTATCGAAGTATGGTGAATGGGAGGTTCAGGTCCTATAGGAGAATTTAACCAAGCATCTTTTGGGACATTCTCCAAAACATCTGATATTAGCCGTTTAATTCTGTAAATTTTCTAAGTACTCTTATGTTTATGCTAAATGTGTTTCAGTTTATAAATTTATACTATAAATTTTAGCTTATTTTATTAGGGCACCTACAGTCTTTAGTCTTACAATTTTTGAAGGCAGAATCCAGCCTTAGATTGTTAAGTAATAGGCTTTCATTATTATTATTACTATTATTGGAGTATTATTATTGGAGACAGGGTCCTGCTCTGTCTCCCAGGCTGGAGTGCAATGGTGTGATCCTAGCTCACTGCAGCCTCAAACTCCTGGGCTCAAGCAATCCTCCCGCCTCAGCCTCCTTAGTGCTGGGACTATGGGCATGTGCTACCATACCCAGCTATTTTTTTTTTAAAGTAGAGATGGTTTCTTACTATGCTTTTTTTGAGACAGGGTCTCACTCTGTCACCTAAGCTGGAGTACAGTAGCATCAGCTTGGCTCACACAACCTTGAATTCCTGGGCTACAGCAGTCCTCCCACCTTAGCCTCCTGAGGTGTGCACTATGATGCCTGACTAATGTTAATTTTTTTTTTTTTTTTGTAGAAACAGATTCTCTCCATGTTGCCCAGGCTGATTTCAAATTCCTGGGCTCAAGCAATCCTCCCACCTTAGCCTCCCAAAGTGCTGGGATTAGAGGCATGAGCCACTGTGCTTGGCCTGGGGTCTCACTGTGTTGCCTAGGCTAGACTTGAACTACTGGGCTCAAGCTATCCTCCTGCCTTGGCCTTACAAAGTATTAGGATTACAAGTATGAACCTTTGCATCTGGTAAGGCTTATATATTAAAGCCTTTCTGGTGGATGATCCTTGGACTTCTTACAAATACGATTTTAAACCTAAATAGGGAAGAAAAAATGTCTTGATTTTTGTAATGCATGATCTGAGTAATGAATAAAATAAAACATTCATATTTTAGGCATAGCAGTCCTTGCTATCACAATCATAAATTTATGTAATACTGGAGAAAGCATAGAGTTGTTTTATATGGCTTTTGAGTGAAATTCAAATGTAGGCTACGATATACAGACCCTTAAATTATCTGTACTTATTATGTATATTTAATTTTTCTTACTCTAGTGTTCTGCTACTTACTATCAGAGAATTTCTGAAAACTATTAACTAAACTGGAAGGAAGCAATATTTTGTTGAAAACTCCATAATTTATGAAATCTCTGGCAAACTGGATCCATCTGAATTGGCTTTTGCAGACCCAATTTATAACCCACATTTAAAATATTTTATAAAGGCAATTTGAACTGGCTTTGATTCTTTTCAAAGTGTTGCATAACTAATATATTTACTGGGTTTGACATTCAAAAGGTACAACAGTGTATGCAATAAAGGATCTTTCTTCTATTCCTGTCCCCTGGACACTTACTTACTTCCCCTCAGCAGAGCTAAACAGTGTAATTAATTTGTTTTTTCTTTATAGACGTTCATTACATACATATATAAGCAAATATAATATGTAACATAATTTTCTTTCTTATATGTACATAAGCCAAATAGAAAACCATATATTTTTACATATATCATATATAGAGAGAATATCATATTTTTTTGTTAAACAAATTAGCAAGACCTTTAAACAAATTAGCAAGGTCTTTATAATATATTATAAAGAGGGAAAAAAGCGAGACAAAATATACATATATATTTATATATATTTTATTACACACAATATATTGTTAAACAAATTAGCAAGATCTTTAGAATATATTATAAAGAAGGAAGAAAGCAAGACAGAAAACTGCATAACATGCTACATAACAATGAAAATAAATAAACTACAGTTAAATGCAACATGGATGAAACTCATAAATACAGTGCTGAGCAAAAGAAGCCGAAAGAAAACTTCATATATATTATTCCATTTTTGTATGCGTCAAAAAACAGGCAAAATTAATGCTACATGTTAATGTAGCATGTTATACAGTTTTGTGTCTTGCTTTTTTCCCTCTATAGTATATTCTAAAGGATCACTCTTTATATAGACTTTCCCTATTTCTTTGTTTGTTTGTAAATTTTACTGAATCATCAGGAAACTGTTTAAATCTTAAGTGTACACCTTGAAATAACTTTGCCGTTGTGTAACAAACACCTAAATCAAGATACAGAAAATTACTAGATTCATAGAAACTCCCCTATGTTACCTTCCAGTCACTTACCCCCAGGTATCCTAATTTCCAACTCTATAGATTAATTTTGCCTGTTTTTGACACATATAAAAATGGAATAATATATATATAGTTCTTTGCTTTTGGATTCCTTTGCTCAGCACTGTATTTATGAGTTCCATCCATGTGGCATTTAGCTGTAGTTTATTTATTTTCATTATTATGTACTATTCTATTTAATGGATATTCTGCAATTTGATTAACCATTCTATTTTAGTTCTCTTTCTTAAACTTAACTTTTGCATTTCTATTTTTTATAACATTTCTTTAGAAAATATATCAATAATTTGGTATAATAATAAAAATTTTTAAATTCTTTTTATATCTCTTTTTTCTATCTCTCATTCTCTGTCTCTCACTCTATCTTCCAAATACATACTATAGCCTGACTCATCATATTGTTTTCTGTCTCCCAAGTAGCATAACACCTTGCTCTTTTATTTATGTTTTTTGTTGTTGTTGTTTTTTAAAAATTTTTTATTATACTTAAAGTTTTGGGATACATGTGCAGAAAGTGCAGGTTTGTTACATAGGTATACAAGTGCCATGGTGGTTTGCTGCACTCATCAATCCGTCATCTACATTAGGTATTTCTTGTAATGCTATCCCTCCCCTACACCCCCATCACCCAACAGGACCAGTGTGTGATATTCCCCTCCCTGTGTCCATGTGTTCTCATTGTTCGCCTCCCACTTATGAGTGAGAATATGCGGTGTTTGGTTTTCTGTTCTTGTGTTAGTTTGCTGAGAATCGTGGTTTCCAGCTTCATCCATGTCCCTGCAAAAGACATGAACTAATCCTTTTCTATGGCTGCATAGGAGTCCATGGTGTACATGTGCCACATTTACTTTATCCAGTCTATCACTGATGGGCATTTGGGTTGGTTGCAAGTCTTTGCTACTGTGAACAGTGCTGCAAAAAGCATGCATGTGCATGTGTCTTTATAGTAGAATAATTTCTAATCCTTTGGTTATATACCCAGTAATGGGATGGCTGGGTCAAATGGTATTTCTGATTCTAGATCCTTGAAGAATCGCCACAGTCTCTTCCACAATGGCTGAACTAATTTACACTCCCACCAACAGTGTAAAAGTGTTCCTATTTCTCCAAATCCTCTCCAGCATCTGTTGTTTCCTGACTTTTTAATCATAGCCATTCTAACTGGCGTGAGATGGTATCTCATTGTGGTTTTGATTTGCATTTCTCTAATGACCAGTGATGATGAGCTGTTTTTCATATGTTTGTTGGCTACATAAATGTCTTCTTTTGAGGAGTGTCTGTTCATATCCTTTGCCCACTTTTTGATGGGGTTGTTTTTTTCTTGTAAATTTGTTTAAGTTCTTTGTAGATTCTGGATATTAGCCTTTGTCAAATGGATAGATTGCAAAAAATGTTCTCCCATTCTGTGGGTTGCCTGTTCACTCTGATGATAGTTTCTTTTGCTGTGCAGAATCTCTTTAGTTTAATTAGATCCCATTTGTCAATTTTGCCTTTTGTTTCCATTGCTTTTGGTGTTTTAGTCATGAAGTCTTTGCCCATGCCTATGTCCTGAACAGTATTGCCTAGATTTTCTTCTAGAGTTTTTATGATTTTAGGTCTTACGTTTAAGTCTTCAATCCATCTTGAGTTAATCTTTGTATAAGGTGTAAGGAAGGGGTCCAGTTTCAGTTTTCAGGATGTGGCTAGCCAGTTTTCCCAACACCATTTATTAAATAGAGAATCCTTTCCTTATTGCTTGTTTTAGTCAGGTTTGTCAAAGATCAGATGGTTGTAGATGTGTGGTGTTATTTCTGAGGCCTCTGTTGTGTTCCATAGGTCTGTATATCTGTTTTGTTACCAGTACCATGGTGTTTTCATTACTGTAGCCTTGTAGTATAGCTTGAAGTCAGGTAGCATGGTGCCTCCAGCTTTGTTCTTTTTGCTTAGGATTGTCGTGGCTATGTGGGTTCTTGTTTGGTTCTATATGAAATTTAAAGTAGTTTTTTTTCTAATTCTGTGAAGAATGTCAGTGGTAGCTTGATGGGGATAGCATTGAATCTACAAATTACTTTGGTCAGTATGGCCATTTTCACCATACTGATTCTTCCTATCCATGAGCATGGAATGTTTTTCCGTTTGTTTGTGTCCTCTCTTATTTCCTTGAGCAGTGGTTTGTAGCTCTCCTCGAAGAGGTCCTTCACATCCCTTGTAAGCTGTATTCCTACGTATTTTATTCTGTTAGTAGCAATGGTGAATGGGAATTCACTCATGATTTGGCTGTTTGTCTATTATTGGTGTCTAGGAATGCTTGTAATTTTTGCACATTGATTTTGTATTCTGAGACTTTGCTTAAGTTGCTTATCAGCTTAAGGAGATTTGGGGCTGAGACTATGGGGTTTTCTAAATATATAATCATGTCATCTGCAAACAAAGACAATTTGATTTCCTCTCTTCCTATTTGAATACCCTATATTTCTTTTGCTTGCCTGATTGCCCTGGCTAGAACTTCCAATACTATGTTGAATAGGAGTGGTGAGAGAGGGCATCCTTGTCTTATGCTAGTTTTGAAAGGGAATGCTTCCAGTTTTTGCCCATTCAGTATGATATTGGCTGTGGGTTTGTCATAAATAGCTCTTATTATTTTGAGATACGTTCCATCAGTACCTAGTTTACTGAGTGTTTTTAGCATGAAATGGTGTTGAATTTTGTCAAAGGCCTTTTCTGCATCTTTGGAGGTAATCATGTGGTTTCTGTCATTTTTTCTGTTTATGTGATGGATTATGTTTATTGATTTGCATATGTTGAACCGGCCTTGCTTCCCAGGGATGAAGCTGACTTGATTGTGGTGGATAAGCTTTTTGATGTGCTGCTGGACTTGGTTTGTCAGTATTTTATTGAAGATTTTCACATCGATATTCATCAGGGATATTGGCCTGAAATTTTCCTTGTTTGTTGTGTCTCTGCCAGATTTTGGTGTCAGGATGAAGCTGGCCTCATAAAATGAGTTAGGGAGGAGTCCCTCTTTTTCTATTGTTTGGAATAGTTTCAGAAGGAATGATACCAGCTCCTCTTTGTACCTCTGGTAGAATTCAGCTGTGAATCTGTCTTGTTCTGGACTGTTTTTGGTTGTTAGGCTATTAATTACTGCCTCAATTTCAGAATTTGTTATTGGTCTATTCAGGGATTCGACTTCTTCCTAGTTTAGACTTGGGAGGTTATATGTGTTCAGGAATTTATCCATTTCTTCCAGATTTTCTAGTTTATTTCCATAGAGGTGTTTATAGTATTCTCTGATGGTAGTTTGTATTTCTGTGGGATCAATGGTGATATCCACTTTATCATTTTTTACTGCATCTATTTGATTCTTTTCTCTTCTTCTTTATTAGTCTGGCTAGCGGTCTATCTATTTTGTTGATCTTTTCAAAAAACCAGCTCCTGGATTTATTGATTTTTTTTGAAGGGTTTTCCTGTCTCTATCTCCTTCAGTTCTGCTCTGATCTTAGTTATTTCTTGTCTTCTGCTACCTTTTGAATATGTTTGCTCTTGCTTTTTTAGTTCTTTTAATTGTGATGTTAGGGTATTGATTTTAGATCTTTCCCACATTCTCCTGTGGGCATTTAATGCTATAAATTTCCATCTAAACACTGCTTTAGCTGTGTCCCAGAGATTCTGGTACGTTAAGTCTTTGTTCTCATTGGTTTCAAAAAACATCTTTATTTCTGCCTTAATTTTGTTATTTACCCAGTAGTCACTCAGGAGCATGTTGTTCAGTTTCCATGCAGTTGTGTGGTTTTGAGTGAGTTTCTTAACCCCGAGTTCTAATTTGATTGCACTGTGGTCTGAGAGACTGTTCGTTATGATTTCTGTTCTTTTGCATTTGCTGAGGAGTGTTTTACTTCCAGTTATGTGGCCAGTTTTAGAATAAGTATGATGTGGTGCTGAGGTGAAAGCATATTCTCTTGATTTGGGGTGGAGAGTTCTGTAGATGTCTATTAGGTCCACTTGGTTGAGAGCTGATATCAAGTCCTGAACATCCTTGTTAATTTTTTGTCTTGTTGATCTAATATTGACAGTGGGGTGTTAAAGTCTCTCACTATTATTGTGTGGGAGTCTAATTCTCTTTGTAGGTCTCTAAGAACTTGCCTAGTGAATCCGGGTGCTCCTGTATGTGGTGCAGATATATTTAGGATAGTTAGCTCTTCTTGTTGCATTGATCCCTTTACTATTATGTAATGCCCTTCTTTGTCTCTGTTGATCTTTGTTGGTTTAAAGTCTGTTTTATCAGAGACAGGGATTGCAACCCCTGCTTTATTTTGCTTTCCATTTGCTTGGTAAATGTTCCTCCATCCCTTTATTTTGAGCCTATGTGTGTCTTTGCACATGAGATGGGTCTCCTGAATACAACACTCTGATGTGTCTTGACTATCCAGTTTGCCAGTCTGTGTCTTTTAATTGGGGCATTTAGCCTGTTTACAATTAAGGTTAATATTGTTATGTGTGAATTTGATCCTGTCATTATGAAGCTAGCTGGTTATTTTTCCTGTTAGTTGATGTAGTTTCTTCGTAGAGTCGATGGTCTTTACAATTTGGTATGTTTTTGCAGGTGCTGGTACCAGTTGTTCCTGTTCATGTTTAGTGCTTCCTTCAGGAGCTCTTGAAAGGCAAAGCCGCCAGGAAGCTTTTGTAAGGCAGGCCTGGTGGTGACAAAATCTCTCAGCATTTGCTTGTCTGTAAAGGATTTTATTTCCCTTTGCTTATGAAGCTTAGTTTGGCTGGATATGAAATTATGGGTTGAAAATTCTTCTCTTTAAAAATGTTGAATATTTTCCCCCCACTTTCTTCTGGCTGGTAGGGTTTCTGCAGAGAGATCTGCTGTTAGTCTGATGGGCTTCCCTTTGTGGCTAACCTGACCTTTCTCAGTGGCTGAAGGAAAAATGTTAAACATTTTTTCCTTCATTTCAACCTTGGTGAATCTGATGATTATGTGTCTTGGGATTGCTTTTCTCAAGGAGTATCTTTGTGGTATTCTGTGTATTTCCTGAATTTGAATGTTGGCCTGGGCCTGTCTTGCTAGGTTGGGGAAGTTCTCCTGGATAATATACTGAAGAGTGTTTTCCAACTTTCTTCTGTTCTCCCCATCACTTTCAGGTACACCAGTTAAACATAGGTTAGGTCTTTTCACATAGTCCCATATTTCTTGGAGGTTTTGTTCATTCCTTTTCATTCTTTTTTTCTAATCTTGTCTTCGTGCTGTATTTCATTAAGTTGCTCTTCATTCTTGACATTCTTTCTTCCGCCTGATTGATTTGTCTATTGATACTTGTATATGCTTCACAAAGTTCTCATTCAGTGTTTTTCAGCTCCATCAGGTCATTTATGTTCTTCTCTAAATTAGTTATTCTAGTTAGCAATGCATCTGACCTTTTTTCTAGGTTCTTAGCTTCCTTGCATTGGGTTAAAACATGCTCCTTTAGCTTGGAGGAGTTTGTTATTACCCATCTTCTGAAGCCTACTTCTGTCAATTCATCAAACTCATTCTCCATCCAGTTTTGTTCCCTTGCTGGTGAGGAGTTGTGATCCTCTGGAGCAGAAGAGTCATTCTGGTTCTTGGAATTTTCAACCTTTTTGCGCTGGCTTCTCCCCATCTTTGTGGATTTATCTACCTTTGGTCTTTGATGTTGGTAACCTTCGGATGGGGTTTTGGTGTGGATATCCTTTTTGTTGATGTTGATACTATTCTTTTCTGTTGGTTAGTTTTCTTTCTAACAGTCAGGCCATCTGCTGGAGTTTGCTGGAGGTCTACTGCAGACTGTTTGCTTGGGTATCACCAGTGGATGCTGCAGAACAGCAAAGATTGCTGCCTGTTTCTTTTTCTGTAAGCTTCATCCCAAAGGGGCACCCGCCATATGTCAGCTGGAGCTCTCCTGTATGAGGTATCTGTCAACCCCTGCTGGGAGGTGTCTCCCAGTCAGGAGTTATGGGGGTTAGGTACCCACTTGAGGAGGCAGTCTGTCCCTTAGCAGAGCTTGAGCACTGTGCTGGGAGATCTCTATTCAGAACTAGCAGCCAGGAATGTTTAAGTCTGCTGAAGCTGCGCCAACACCCGCTCCTTCCTCCAGGTGCTCTGTCCCAGGGAGATGAGAGTTTTATGTATAAGCCCCAGACTGGGGCTGCTGCCTTTCTTTCAGAGATGCCTTGCCCAGCAAGGAGGAATTTAGAGAGGAGGTCTGGCTATAGCACCTTTGTGGAGCTGTGGTGGGCTCCATCCAGGTGGAACTTCCTGGCGGCTTTGTTTACACTGTCAGCAGAAAACCGCCTACTCAAGCTGAGTAATGGAGGACGCCCCTCCCCCCACCAAGATAGCATGTTTCAGATCGACCTCAGACTGCTGTGTTGACAGCAAGAGTTTCAAGCCAGTAGATCTTAGCTTGCTGTGCTCGGTGGGGTTGGGGTCCACTGAGCTAGACCACTTGGATCCCTGGCTTCAGCCCACTTTCCAGGGGAGTGAATGCTTGTCTCACTGGCATTCCAAGCGCCACTGAGGTATGAAAAGTAACTCCTCCAGCTAGCTCGGTGTCTGCTCAAATGGCTGCCATATTTTGCACTTGAAACCTAGGGCCCTGGTGGTGTAGGCTCCGGAGGGAATCTCCTGGTCTGCAGGTTGTGAAGACTGTGGAAAGTGTAGTATCTGAGCCGGAATGCACAGTCCCTCACAGCTTCCCTTGGCTAAGGTAGGGAGTTCCTCAACCCCTTGCACTTCCTGGGTGAGGCAACGCCCCACCCTGCTTCTGCTCCTCCTCGATGGTCTGCACCAACTATCTAACCAGTCCCAGTGAGATGAGCTGAGTACCTCAGTTCAAAATGCAGAAATGACTCACCTTCTGTGTTGATCTTGCTAGGAGCTGCAGACCGGAGCTGTTCCTATTTGGCCATCTTGCCAGCCGCTCTTGCATTTCTGTTTAACAAATGGCTTGAAAAATTCCACAAACACCCTTGTGAGATTTTGATTAGAACTACCTTGAATCTATAGATCATTTTCGGGAGAACTGACATGACTGTGGGAGATGGCAATATTGACTCTCTGTCATTGACAGTGACAGTGGTGATTCATTCAGTCTGTGGACATATGTTATATTCCTTTATTTGCTTAGAGTCTTTGCTTTCTCCAGGTAACATTTATAGATTTTTTTGTAGAGATGTTCCACATTTTTTTAGGTTTTGTCTTAAATATTTGATTTTTTAAAAAATGTCAACTCTTATTTTAGACAGAGAGGATGCATGGGCATGTTTAATGTTTATTACATGGACATATTATGTGATGCTGAGGTTTGGGGTATGGATCCTGTCGCCCAGGTGGTGAGCATAGTACCAAATAGGTAGTTTTTCCGTCTAGTATGTAGTTTGCCTTCCTCCGTCTTCTAGAAGTTCATAGTGTCCATTCTTCAAATGTTTATGTCTATGTGTGCTCAATGTTTAGCTCCCACTTTTAAGTGAGAACATATAGTATTGTTTTCTGTTCCTACATTAATTCTTTTAGGATTATTGCCTCCAGCTGCATTCTTGTGGCTGCAAAGGTTGTGATTTTTTTTTTTTATGGCTGCATAGTATTCTATGGTGTATATGTACCACATTTTCTTTATCTGATCCACTGTTGATGGGCACTTGGGTTGATTCCATGTCCTTGCTATTATGAATACTGCTGTACTAAACATATGAGGGCAGATGACATTTTGGTAGAATGATTTATTTTCCTTTGGGTATATACCCAGTAATGGGATTGCTGGGTCAAATGTTTGCTCTGCTTTAAGTTCTTTGAGAAATATTTGATATTTTTTAATGCTTTTGTAAATGGTAGTTGTATATACATATTTTATAATATATATTCATACATATTTATACATTATATAAACACACACACATGTCTTTTGTTGTTGTTACCATATTACACTAGTTAGGACCTTGTATTAACTATCTATTGCTATATAACAATGTTACCATAAACTTAGTGACTTAACACACATTTATTATCTCATAGTTCAGTGGGTTAGGAGACTAGTCATAGCTTAGTTGAGTTTACAAAAAGTTTTAAAAATGTTTTTTCAGAGATAGAGCCTCACTATGTTATTCAGGCTGGCCTCAAACCCCTAGGCTCAAGGGATCCTTCTTTTTCAGCCTCCCAAGTATCTGGAATATCTGGAACTACAGGCATGTGCCACCATGCCTGGCTTATTTGAGAATTAAAAAATATATATTATTAGCTGACTTTTTTGTTGCAGGGTCTCACAAATTAAAATTGTGGCCAGGGCTGTGCGATTTTCTGAGGTTTGACTGGGAAAGGATCTTTATTCAAGCTCATTTTGTTGTTGGTAGCATTCATATCCCTTGCATGTTGTTGGATTGAGGGCCTCAACTTTTTGCCGGCTGTTTGGCCAGAGGTGATCCTCAGTTTTTTGCCATATAGCCCTCTCAATAAGCCAGCTCACAACAGAGCAGCTTGCTGCTTCAAAACCAATAAGGGTGTGAGTTTCCTTACAAGATGGAGGTCGTAATCATATGTGAACACAGAAGTGACAGCCCATGACCTTTGTCATATTCTATTAGCTAAAAGGAAATCACAGGTCCCGTGCACACTCAAGGGCAAGAATACTATGAGGTGGGACTCATGGAAACTACCTTTGAGTTTGTCCTCTATAGGCCTCCAGTACAGTACTGACTAAAATGGAAAAGAACAGTGGTTTTCTTGTCTCATTACTGATTGTAGGGGGAATGTTTTCATTATTTCACCTTTAAGTGTGATATTTGCTGGAAGATTTTTGGTAGACGTTCTTTGTAAGATTAAGAAAGTTTATTTTGCTCTTATTTTCCTATAAGCGTATATATATATATATATACGCTTATAGGAAATATATATATATTTTAAATCATGAATGGGTGTTGAATTTTATCATATACTTTCTCATGCACCTATTGAGATGAGCATGTAATTTTTCCCTTTTTAAATGTGTTAATGTGGTAAGTTACATCAGTTGATCTTTAAATGTTAGATGACCCTTGCATTCCCAGAATACATACAAATTTTGCGATGTATTAGCATTATTATATGTGCTAATATATGCTGGGTTTGCTAATATTTTGCTAATAAGTTGAGATTTTAATCTCTATGTTCACAAAAGTTTAGTATGTAAGTTTCCATTCTTTTGATTCCCCTGTCAAGTTCTCACTTCATAGTTATGTCGACTTTATGAAATGAATGGGGGATGTTTCCTTTTTTCTATACTCTATAAATATTTGTGAAATTTTGGTGTTCCCTCTTAAAATTTGGAAAAATTCACCAGTAAAGCAATGTAGGCCTGGGTTTTCTATGTGGGGCAATTTTAAATGACATATTATATTTCCTTAATAGGTGTAGAAATGTTCAGATATTCTGTTTTTTCTTGAGTCAGTTTTGGTAAGTTGTGTTTTTGAAGAAATTTTTCCTATTCATCTAATTTTTCAAATTTATTAGCCTTAATGGTAGGGCCTGTAGTAGTTTACTATTTTCAATTCCTAATATTGGTTATTTTTGAGTTATCTTTTTTAAAAATAAGTCTTCTGGAGATTTATCATTTTTTCAGTATTTTCAAAGTACTGATAGAATTCTTGATTTTTTTCAAATGTACATGTATTTTTCTAGTTTACTGATTTTTATTCTTCATTGGGTTTGGTTTACTGTCTTTTAACTAGATTAATGAGATGGAACCTTACATAACTGATTTCAATATTTTTTCTTCTTTAATATGTGACTTTAGGGCCATAATTTTTCCCTGAAAATTGTTTGAGCTCCATCCAACAGATTTTATGTCTAATATTTATTAATGTTGAACTAAAACTTTTATAATTTTTCCTATAGTTTCTTATTTGAACCTTGTGTTATTTAGAAGTTAATTAGTTTTCAAGAAGTTGAGAGTTTTCTATCTCTTGTTAGTAAAAAATAAAATGCCACTGTGGAAAGATCATAGTATATGGTTTTAGCTTCTTTGACATTTGTTGAGACTTGTTTTATGATTCAGCACATGGACAATTTTAGTAAATGTGCACAAACTAATTTTACTATTCTGTTACTAGGTTCAATGTACTATATATGTAAATTTGACTAAGTTCATTAATTGTGTTGTTAGATCTGTAAATTCTTACTAATTTGTTTGTATTTGTTCTATCTGATATTAAGAGAGGACCGTTAAAAGCTCCCACTATGATTATAAATTTTAGAATTTCTCTTTTTAGTAGTGATGACTTATGTTTTGAATCTAAGTTGTTGGATGTATACATTTATTTTCTGTATATGTATTTATTACTTTATCATTATAAAATATCTCTTTCTCTGTAGTAATATATCTTGTCTTGAAATATACATTGATATTTGCATAGCTAGTCCATCTTTACTTTGTGTTTGCATGGCATATATATTTCCATTATATTATTGTCAATGTCTTCATAGTCATTTTTAAGCATACAATTTTAAAAAATTAGTCTGACAATATTAGTCAATTTTTCTTTTTTGAGACGGAGTCTCACTCTGTCACCAGGCTGGAGTGCAGTGGCACAATCTCAGCTCACTGCAACCTCCACGCCCTGGGTTCAAGTGATACTCCTGCCTCGGCCTCCCAAGTAGCTGGGCCTACAGGCACACACCACCATGCCCAGCTAATTTTTGTCATTTTAGTAGAAATGTGGTTTCACCATGTTGGCCATGATGGTCTCAATCTCTTGACCTTGAGATCTGCCTGCCTCGGCCTCCCAGTGCTGGGATTACAGGCGTGAGCCAATGCACCTGGTGACAATATTAGTCTTATACTTGGTGTACCTAACATTTAATATAATTTATTGATATAGCTAGGTTTTTATCTGCCATATTTTTATTTCAGTCTTTATGTTTCTTTTTTATTTTACTTTCTTTTTACTTAAACTTTTTATTATCCTATTTTTCTCTATATGACATTAATATGTATTTTTTCACGCTTTTTGAGGGATTATCTTTAATAACTCTTTTTGAGGATTTCAACATGAATCCTTCACTTATTTTGATCTAAAATAGAGCATTTCTTTTACCACTTCTTTAATAATGACAGCAACTTGCACTTTACCTCTATTTACCATCCCTGTTGCTCTTTGGATTATTTTTTTTGTATTTTATTTTCACATCCGTTTTAAACCCTATAATACATTGCTAATATAGTTTAGTATGTTAATATTGTTTATATTCATATATATTTATCAGCATATGTATTTATTCTTTCTTTTTATCCTCATTCCTTACTATGTCTACTTGCATTCTTTTTCTTTTGCCTGAAAATTTTTCTTTATTCTTTATTTTACTGCAGCTTTGTTAGAACAAATTCTCTCTGCTTTTATTATTTCACTTTTTAAAATACTTTTTTATTTCATAATAGTTGCAGATTTGTAGGAAGTTGCAAAACTAGTACAGAGGTTTTATGTTCAATTCACCCCATATGTTAATGTCGTACATGCACTCGTGTGTGTGTGTGTATACTTGAATGTGCATAGTTATATGTAATTTTATCATGACTACACTCATGTAACAACCACTATAATCAAGACACAAAATGGTTCTATCACCACAAAGATTGTTCTTGTGCTACCCATTTATAGTCACTTCCATTGTCATCCCTATCTCTCCTATTTCTAACGCCTGGAATTCACTAATCTGCTCTCCATATTTATAATTTTATAACTCAAGAATGTTAAATAAGTGGAATCATACAATGTGTAACTTTTTGGGATTGTATTTTTACAAAGCATAATTTCCTGGAGATTCATTCAAGTTGTGTACATCAAGAGCTTATTTTATTTCTTGAGTAGTATTTTACAGTATTAGTGACTACAGTTTATTTAACTATTCACCCATTGAAGGATATCTAGATTGTTTCCATTGTGAACTTATTACAAGTAAAGCTGCTATGATCATTTGTGTGCAAGTATGTTTGTGAACATAAGTTTTCGTCTCTCGGTGTAATTTCCAAAAAGCGCAATTGCCGGGTTGTATGACATTTGTTTACATTTATAAGAAGATGCAAAGCTATTTCCTGGAGTGGCTGTGTCACTTTATATTTCTACCAGAAATATGTAGGAGATCTAGTTTCTCCATATACTAACTAGAATTTTGTGACATCTAGGTCACGTCTCGGTGCCTTAGGTCTCAAAGATTTTCTCTGATTTTTTTTCTAAAAGTTTTTATGGTTTTACATTTAAAATTATAACTCATTTTGAGCTATTTTTTTGTTTAAGGTATGAGATTGAGGTCAAGGTTGTTTTTTCTTCTACTATGGATGTCCAATTGCTCCAGCAGTATTTGTTGAAGACGATTTTTTCATTAAATAATTGCTCTTGCACTTTTGTCGAAACTCCGTCGGATGCTGTTTTAGTCTTTTTGATGTAGGCATTTAATGCTATGTACTTTCCTCTTAGCAGCACTTTTGCTGTGTCCCAGAGGTTTTGATAAGTTGTGTCATGATTATTATTCATTTCAAAGAATTTTTAAATTTATTTCTTGATTTCATTGTTAACCTGTTGTGGGAAAATCAAATATTGGAGAGACTGAAAAAGGTTCAGGAAAGTTTATTAAGGTGATCACCGGCTCAGCCGGACATATGTCCAGAATTCTGAGCCCTGAACAAAGGGCTTTTCCTACTTTTAAACTTCTTAAGGTGGGAACTACGTGAGGCGAGAAGTAAGTTACAGAAGCAAGAAACAAAGGCAGCATTACGACATTTCTTACATCTTGAGAGAAACATGTCTTGCAACCTAAACTTATTGGTATTGTGACCCTGCAGCCATGCAGGAACTCACTGGGCCTCTAATAAACTTTGAGGAATGTGGAGTTGTGGAGTATAGATAAGGTTCACTGTCCACAGAGAGAAGACAGGCTGTTAGTATTCCTTTTTAACTTGAGTGTAAGGGGGGTGTCACACTTTGCAGCAACTTTAGGAAGATTTTAAAATTTCTATTACTACTACTATTAGGTTATAGTTATTTTCATTATTTCCTTCTTCATTCCTCCCTTTTGGTGCTCGACACAAATGTAGATTAGTAAAGAGCACCACAGTTAGCTATTTCTTCTTGAGTGGGTACATACCCATCTTGTGATACCAGTTGGTACTTTTGCAAAGCCACCAAGAACAGACATACCCCACGACCCGAATAATGGCTCTGCTGCTGAGTTTTTCTTGTCCTAGATTTTTACAGGTGGTTTTAATATTATTTAGTTTACTGAGATGTGCAGCTTGGCAGGCATCAAAATATATGGAGACAGGCCTTTTATGCGAGTACGGGAATACTTCTGTTTTGTTTACAAGTTTACTGACCCTGGTTTCTGTGGGGTTGGTATATAATGGCATTAGGGGTTCGCCAATTCGGACTTTAAACCCGAAGTCATAGGGCAAGAACTCTGGGTCATAACATAGTTGGGGCTGCTCATTTCCAGGATTGCAGACCGAGTAACTAGTCTAGTTATAGACACAAGTTCCTGTATGAGTCCCTGTACAGTTGTAGTAGGTCTGGTATAACAGAGTTTTAGTCACACCTTTTCTGGACCAGGCTTCTATCATACAGTGATGACAGACATCCTGGTCCCCAATTATAACCATAGGTGAAAGTGTCGGTGGCTTTAGTATTACTAATATGATTAAGCTTATACTATGCACAGGCACCCTTCTAGGCAACAAGCTTGGCAGCATTTGCAAAGATAACATGACAGCAAAATAATCAGTACAAGTAAACATATAACTATGTTTGTACATTTAACCCGCATTTAGTTATCTATCATTGACTTCCTTAGGCTTTGGCCATGCATAGACTAGTCAGATTCTGTTTGTGTGACTAGAGCAGGGCTCAGTGTTTCCTCAAGCTTCAGTTGTGCATGGACCGACCAGCCTCTGGTGCAGTCAGAGCAGGGAAGTTGTCCGTGTCAGCAGTGACTTGGTTTCACTGCAGGATCAGCCATGTTGGGTGGTCTTGGTTTTGTTGACTGGTCCACTGGTCCTGGATGGCAGCTGCTGCTGGTTTCAGCCAGCTATGATGAACCCAAGGTATGATACCTGCAACTTTAACAGCTGTGCGGATAGACAAGATCACAATATGGGGACCATCCCATAAAGGCCCTAAAGTGGTTGGGTTCTATTGTTTGACCCAGAGTCTCCAGGTTGGAAGGGATGTACTGCATCTGTGAGGCTAACAGGTATTCTTTCTCTTACTCACCCTTATATTTCCTGTATGGCCTCACCTAAGGCTTGCATTTGCCTTCTTAAGGTTAATTCCCCAGATTCTCTTAAATCACCTTTTATCTGAGTTATCATCAGGGGTGCTTGGCCAAACACTATCTCATAGGGTGAATACCCAGTTACTTTAGTAGGGGTTTACCTGGCTCAGAGAAGGACCATGGGCAGCACCTGATCCCACCTTAGATGAGTTTCTTGGCAAAACTTTAACAGCTGTTTGAGTGTCTGGTTCATTCTTTTAACTTTTCCAGAACTTTGTGGGCGATAAGCTGTATGCAGTTTCCATTTGATTTTTAACATCTGCATTAGCTGTTGTACTATTTCTGTCACAAATGCTGGGCCATTGTCTGTTCCTAAAGTTAAAGGCAGTTCAAATTTAGGAATAATGTCCTTTAGTAAGATTCTGGTTACTTCCTGAGCTTTCTCTTTCCTGGTAGGAAATGCCTTCACCCACCCTGAGAAAGTGCAGACAAACACTAGCATGTACCAGTAGCCTCTGGCTTGAGGCAGCTCCATAAAGTCCACAAGCAGGTTTTCACAGGGTATAACTCCAGTTTCTTGAATCCCTGGGGGCCGTGTTGGCCGCTGCCATGGATTGTTTTGGGCACAAGCCAAGCATTGCTCACAAACGGCTTGAGTGATGGCAGTTGGGAGCAGCACATAGAAATGTCGTCCTATAAGAGTTTCTAATGCAGTTTTTCCCATATGCTTTCCTTGATGAAACTGCTTTATGAACCGGGGGGCTATTGCTTCTGCGATGGCAAGCCTCCCATCTGAGAACTTCCACTAACATCCTTTCTGGTAACTTCCACTCTCCTGCTCAAACGAAGCCTTTTCATTAGAAGAGTAGTTAGGGAGTTCTGTTAGGGGAAGCTCCAGTAAGGGCATGGTAAGGGTTTCCTTTTCCTTCTTAGTTACCTCTGTCATTACAGCTCTTTTGGCTTCTCTGTCTGCCTTTCTGTTTCCTCTAGCCTTGTCACCTCCTCCTGTTTGTTGTTCTTTGCAATGGATGACTGCTACTTCTTTTGGAGCCCATACGGCTTCTAAGAGCTTCTCTATTTCCTTTTTATTTTTGATTTCCTTTCCTTCAGTAGTTAATAATCCTCTTTCCTTATATTTGGCTCTGTGGGCATGCAAAGTGGCAAAAGCATGCCTTGAGTCAGTATAGATGTTTACTGACTTTCCTTTGGCTAAGAGCAATGCTCTAGTGAGAGCTATTAGCTCAGCTCTTTGGGCCAAAGTTCCGACTGGCAGAGGGCGGGCTTCGGCTACTGAATTCAGTGTTACCACTGCACATCCAGCCCGTCTGACACCTTCAGATATGAAGCTGCTTCCATCAGTAAAGTATTTAACATCTGGGTCTCTTAAGGGCTAGTCCGTTAAGTTTTTTTGGCTTGATAAAACCTCATCCACTGTTTCCACACAACAGTGATACCCTGGGCCACACAATGGGGCTTTCCGTGCTCCACCCATTCTGTTGGCAGCAGTGTGGCTGGATTTAGAGTGTTCACAGTCTCCAGGGTTATGTAGGGGTTTTCACACAAAAGCCCTTGATATCTTAACATCTTAGGGTTAGATAGCCAGTGATGCCCCCTCTGCTCCATCAGGGTGACACGACCATGTGGGGCACCCGAATTATTAACCTTTGTCCAAATGTGAGCTTGTTAGCATCTTCCACTAACAGGGCAGTGGCTGCCAATGCCTTGAAACAGGGTGGCCATCCCATAGCCACCAGGTCTAGACACTTGGAGAAATATGCCGTGGGCCAGTACCATGACCCTAGTGTTTGTACCAAGATTCCTGTAGCTATTCCTTTTCTTTCATGGACATACAGGTAAAAAGGCTTTGTCATGTCTGGCAGTCCTAATGCTGGGGCCTGGATCAAAGCCTTCTTGATGTCTTTGAAGGCCATGTCCTGCTCTTTTTCCCACAGGAGGGATTCTTCCCCCCTGCCCCCGCCCCAGCTTTGGTAGCCTTATACAATGGTTTTGCCAAAAGCGAGTAATTTGGAATCCAAATGTGACAGAAACCATCTGCCCCTAAAAGCTCCTGCACTTGTCGCCTAGTGTCAGGTAGAGGAATGCCACACATGTTCTCTTTTCACTCATGTCCAAGCTCATGCTGCCCCTGAGAGATGTTAAAGCCAAGATATCTTGCCCTTTGGCCACAGATTTGTGCCTTTTTCCTTAGACACCTTATAGCCAGCCTCCCACAGAACACGAAGGAGGCTTTCTGTGCCTTGAAAGCACTCTTCTTTTGTGGGTGCAGCCAACAATACATCATCCATGTACTGCAACAGGACACAGGGGTCACTTGGTGGCACAAAAGCCTTCAGGTCTGTCTAGTGCTTCCTCAAAAATGATTGGGGGGTTTTTGAATCCTTGGGGGAGCCTGGTCCAAGTATACTGTGATGAGCCCCACTCAAAGACAAAGATGCCCTGGCTTTCAGGAGCTCGTTGGATGCAGAAGAATGCATCCTTTATGTCTAAGCATGTAAACCAAGCAGCATCCACAGGAATTCACCCAAGCATTGTATATGGGTTGGGCACAATGGCATATAATGTAGCTGCAACTTTATTTATGGCCCGCAAATCCTTTACTGGCTGGTAATCTCTGGAGGGCTTTAACACCGGTACCAATGGAGTGTTCCAAGACAAGGCACATCTTTGCATTATCCCAAATTTAAGGAGCCAGTCTATATGCTTTGTAATCCCATGGGTGGCTTCTGCTGGGATGGGATACTGACGGATTCACACTGGGTAAGTGCCCCGCAGCAGTTCCACCACTACATGTGCCTGATTTATGGCTAGCCTGGGGGACTGTCTTCCACCCAGACCCCTGGCAGCTTGAGAAATAATTTCTTATACATTGCCTCATTTTCCCGCTGGCAAAATGCATCTTTATAAATTTTGCATCTCTCATAGAGTCTCCATTCCTTTGTTGTTGGGACAGTAGGGGTCATTATCATGCCTTTTCTTTGACCTAGGTTTAGAGTCGTGCCCCCTTACGGTGTAAAGGAGATTTGTGCTTGCAATTTCTGGAGCAAGGCTTTTCCTAACAAGGGCACCAGACAATTTGGCAAATATAAAAATTCATGTTGAACCTGCTGTCCTCCAATCACACATCTTGTAGATTTGAAGTAAGGCCTCTGTTACTCCTGTAGCTCCAATTATATTGACATAATTTTTAGACAATGGCCCAATCGCTTGAGTTACTCCTGAGTGCTCTGCACCAGTATTGACCATAAAGTCCACTTTTTGGCCCTCTACCTCCATTGAGACCATAGGCTCCTTGGGGCCTAATGAAGTGGAACCCAGTCTGTCTCAGTCCTCATAATAATCATTGATTCCTGCCACTCTGATTAAATCCATATCTGACTTCTGAACCCCTTGACTGGTGGCAGGGGGTTCTGGCCAGCCGTTTTGTCCTTGATTGTTGCCTCTATCCTTTTCTCTCTCTGGACATTCATTCCTCCAGTGTCCCATCTGCTTGCATTTCACACATTGATCTTTCTCAATCCTAGGTCAGCCCCCTTGTTCTGGCTTAGCTTACTGGTTTTGCCTAGCTAGTCCTCTACCATGACTGTGACCATGACCACGTCCTCTCACAAAACCGGTTTCTCTTCCAACTAAGGCTGCTGCCAGCAAGTCTGCCTTTTCCTTGGCTCTGCATCTAGCTTCTCTCTTGGCCTCCTCATCTTGATTTACAAACATCTTAGTAGCCACCTGTATAAGCTTGGTAATATGCCTTCAAAACCTTCTAACTTCTGAAGCTTTAGCTTTATGTCTTCTTGCACCTGGCTTACAAATGCCGCATTAACCATACACTGATTACCTGCAGCCTCTGTGTCAAATGGCGTGTAAAGCCAGTAAGACTTGCAGAGTCTCTCATAAAATTCACTGGGACTTTCATTTGGCTCTGGTGGACCTCTGAGACCTTTCTGATATTGGCCTTTTTCCCTGCAGGCTTTATTCCATTTAGGAGTGCCTCTTGATACTGCTCCAAACTTTGTAGCCCTTGAGCCTGGTTAGGGTCCCAGTTTGGGTCAGCGTCTATTGGGAGTGCTTATTGTGCATACTGCCTGATATCTCCTGTGCCTGCAGGTGCATTGTTCTCCAGCCTCTAGAGAGCAGCTTGTATAACTCTACAGTGCTCTTCTGTATTAAATAATGACAGAAGAAGTTGTTTGCAATCAGCCCAGGTAGGATTGTGAGTTAGGAAAATGGACTGCATTAGATCTATAAGAGCCTGAGGCTTCTCTGTATAGGAGGGAGTATGTTGTCTCCAATTTAAGAGATCAGTAGTAGAGAAGGGCTGATAAACGAAGAGCTGTTCTGCCCCTTGGACTTCATTCTGTGCATTCAAATAAATTTGTTTCTGTGTTTCTCGGAGGGGCACCTGCATTGCTTGGGCATGGCCCGACCTAAGGCAGCCGACCTCATCCCCTTGGAGTTCCTCCCTTGGCTTTTCAGGCAAGGGCTCTGGCTCCTCTCTGCATGGTGTTGCTTTCTTCTGAGTCTGAGCCTCTGTAGGCAGCTGGGGCAGCCTCCTGTCTAAGCCTTGTCAGGGATGGATAAATTGGTGCATAGGGGGGTGGACTTTCTAACTCTTCAGGTGGGGCCTGTAAGATGGTTTTTTTCTGCTTTTTCTATGACTCCTTTTCTTTTTCTGATGCCTTGCAGTCTCTTTCTGTGGTTCCTGGTTTTGTCCAGGCCATTAGAGTCTTACAGTAGGTCTTAAAGTAGGCTGCAGTGCCCTGCAGCCACTCAGGGCAGGTCTGAATTACACTTAGCCAGGAGTCGATATGTGGAAACTGATCCAGGTGCCCAGGCTGTTCTCCAAGCCTGGTGACCACCCAAAACACTCGGCCAATTATCTCCCTGTCTATTTTCCCCTTGGCTGGCCACCCTACCTTAAGAGATGGCCAGTCTATCTCACAAAGGGTTCTCAGTTTCTGTGGAGTTAGGTTAACATCATAATCACCATTAAAACCTTTTTTAAAGTTTTTCAGCATGCACTCCAGTGGAGTAGGCTTTGATGCTTTTCCTCCCATTTCCTCCCTCATGGCATGCTTTCACTCTCAGTTTCACTTTTGGATCCACCAGACTGGGTCCTATTACAGGAGGTTTTGATACTACTTAGCCCGGAGAGTGCCTTAATTCCTGTCACAGCTAGCTGCAGCTGTGGAACTGGTTCTATGGACTGTATGCAGTGTCCTAGGTCTGGTTTTTCCCATACTCTCCTTGGAGCACACAGTCCATGATAAGAGGTCTGTGCCTCCCAGCGTCACGCTCTATGTTGGTCTCTCCTGAGACCATCTCTTTCACACACTTTCACACACTTCCTCTGTCCCTGAAACAGTTTTCCTTTCTGACCAATTCACGAGCCCCACCTGCATCTGGTGTCAGTTAGGGTGTGAGTTTCATCCGAATCAGCACCCTGTCAAAACAGAAAATCTTCTGTCTCCACTCCCGGATGGGTCCCCAGAAATGTTACGGGGCAATCAAAGACTGGAGATGTGTCCAGAATTGGTGGGTTCTTGGTCTCACTGACTTCAAGAATGAAGCCGCGGACCTTCATGGTGAGTGTTAACAGTTCTTAAAGGCGGAGTGTTCGGAGTTTGTTCCTTCTGATGTTTGGATGTGTTCGGAGTTTCTTCCTTCTGGTGGATTCGTGGTCTCGCTGGCTAGGAGTGAAGCTGCAGACCTTCACGGTGAGTGTTACAGCTCATAAAGGCAGTGTGGACCCAAAGAGTGAGCAGCAGCAAGATTATTGCAAAGAGCCAAAGAACAAAGCTTCCACAGTGTGGAAGGGGACCTGAGCGGGTTGCCACTGCTGGCTTGGGCAGCCTGCTTTTATTCTCTTAACTGGCCCCACCCACATCCTGCTGATTGGTCCATTTTACAGAGAGCCGAGTGGTCTGTTTTGACCGGGTGCTGATTGGTGCGTTTACAATCCCTGAGCTAGACACAAAGGTTCTCCACGTCCCCACTAGATTAGCTAGATACAGAGTGTCAACACAAAGGTTCTCCAAGTCCCCATCAGAGTAGCTAGATAGAGTGTCGATTGGTGCATTCACAAACCCTGAGCTAGACACAGGGTGCTGATTGGTGTGTTTACAAACCTTGAGCTAGATACAGAGTGCTGATTTGTGTATGTACAATCCCTTAGCTAGACATAAAGATTCTCCAAGTCCCCACCAGAATAGCTAGATACAGAGTGTCGATTGGTACATTCACAAACCCTGAGCTAGACACAGGGTGCTGATTGGTGTGTTCACAAACCTTGAGCTAGATACAGAGTGCCAATTGGTGTATTTACAATCCCTTAGCTAGACACAAAGGTTCTCCAAGTCCCCACCAGAGGAGCTAGATACAGAGCATCAATTGGTGCATTCACAAACCCTGAACTAGACACAGGGTGCAGATTGGTGTGTTTACAAACCTTGAGCTAGATACAGAGTGCTGATTGGTGTATTTACAATCCCCTAGCCAGACATAAAGGTTCTCCAAGTCCACACCAGAGTAGCTAGATACAGAGTGTCGATTGATGCATTCACAAACCCTGAGCTAGACACAGGGTGCTGATTGGTGTGTTTACAAACCTTGAGCTAGATACAGAGTGCCAATTGGTGTGTTTACAATCCCTTAGCTAGACATAAAGGTTCTCCAAGTTCCCACCAGGCTGAGGAGCCCCGCTGTCGTCACCCAGTGGATCCTGCACCAGGGCCGCAGGTGGAGCTGCCTGCCAGTCCCGTGCCATGCGCCCGCACTCCTCAGCCCTTGGGTGGTCGATGGGACTGGGCACCATGGAGCAGGGGGTGGTGCTCTTTGGGGAGGCTTGGGCCACACAGGAGCCCACGGAGTGGGGGAGGCTCAGGCATGGCCAGCTGCAGGTTCTGAGCCCTGCCCCGCTGCAGGTTCTGAGCCCTGCCCCACAGGGAGGCAGCTAAGGCCTGGGGAGAAATCAAGTGCAATGCCAGTGGGCCAGCACTGCTGGGGGACCCAGTACACCCTCCGCAGCCGCTGGCCCAGGTGCTAAGCCCTTCATTGCCTGGGTCCGGCAGGGCTGGCCGGCTGCTCTGAGTGCGGGGCCCGCCAAGCCCATGCCCACCCAGAACTCCAGCTGGCCCGCAATTGCCACGCGCAGCCCCAGTTCCCACTTATGCCTCTCCCTCCACACCTACCTGCAAGCTGAGGGAGACAGCTCCGGCCTTGACCAGCCCAGAAAGGGGCTCCCACAGTGCAGCGGTGGGCTGAAGTGCTCCTCAAGTGCCACCAAAGTGGGAGCCCAGGCAGAGGAGGCGCCCAGAGCGAGTGAGGGCTGCAAGGGCTGCCAGCACGCTGTCACCACTCAGAGAGACCAAAAAAGGTGGAGGAAAGTTTATTAAGGTGCTCACCGGCTCAGCCGGACATATGTCCAGAAAGTCTGAGCCCTGAAGAAAGGGCTTTTCCTACTTTTAAACATCTTAAGGTGGGAACTATGTGAGGCAGGAAGTGAGTTACAGATGCAAGAAACAAAGGCAGCATTACAACATTTCTTACATCTTGAGAGAAACATGTCTTGCAACCTAAACTTATTGGTCTTGTGACACTGCAGCCATGCAGGAACTCACTGGGCCTGTAATAAACTTTCAGGAATGTGGAGTTGTGGAGTATAGATAAGGTTCACTGTCCACAGCGAGAAGACAGGCTGTTAATATTCCTTTTTAACTTGAGTTTAAGGGAGGGTCACAATTTGCAGCAACTTTAAGAGGATTTTAAAATTTCTATTACTGCTACTATTAAGTTATAGTTGATTTTATTAATTCCTTCTTCAAACCCAAAAATAATTCAAGAGCGTATTATTTAATTTCCATGATTTGTATAGTTTTGAAGGTTCCTTTTGGAGTTGATTTCCAGTTTTATTGCATTGTGGTCTGAGAAGATACTTGATATGATTTTGATTTTCTTAGATTAATTGAGGCTTATTTTGTGGCCTGTCATGGTCTATCTTGGAGAATGTTCCCCACGCTGATGAGAAGAATGTATTATGCAGTTGTTGGGAAGAATGTTCTGTTAATATCTGTTAAGCCCATTTGTTCTAGGGTATAGTTTAAGTCTATTGTTTCTTTGTTGACTCTCTGTCTTGATGATCTGTCTAGTGCTGTCAGTGGAGTATTGAAGTGCCCCACTATTATTGTGTTGCTGTCTATTTTATTTCTTAGGTCTAGTACTAATTGTTTAATATATTTGGGAGCTCCAGTGTTAGGTGGATATAAATTTAGAATTGTAATATCTTCCTTTTAGACTAATCCTTTTATCATTATATAATGTCCTTCTTTGTCTTTTTTTTAACTGTTATTGTTTTAAAGTCTGTTTTGTCTGATATAAGAATAGCTAGTTCTGCTCATTTTTGGTTTCCATTGGCATGGAACATGTTTCCAGCTCTTTACCTTAAGTTTATGTGAGTCCTTATCTGTTAGATGAGTCTCTTGAAGACAACAGATATTGGGTTGGTGGTGTTTTATTCATTCTGCCATTCTGTATCTTTTAAGTGGAGTTTTTAGGCCATTTACATTCAATATTAGTATTGAGATGTGAGGTATTGTTCTATTCATCATGTTAGTTGCCTAAATACTTTGTTTTTTTTTAAATTGTGTTATTGTTTTATAGGCCCTGTGAGATTTATGCTTTAAGGGGTTTCTATTTTGGTGAATATTGAGGTTTTGTTTCAAGATTTAGAACTTTAGAATTTCTTGTAGTGCTGGTGTGGTAGTGGCAAATTCTCTCAGCATTTGTATGTCTGAAAAAGACTTTATCTCTCCTTCATTCATGAAGCTTAATTTTGCTGGATACCAAATTCCTGGCTGACAATTATTTTGTTTAAGGAGGTGGAAGATGGGACCACAATCCCTTCTGGCTTGAATCCCTTCTGGCTTGTAAGGTTTCTGCTGACAAATCTGCTGTTAACCTTATAGGTTTTTCTTTATAGGTTATCTGATGCTTTTGTCTCACAGCTCTTAAGATTCTTTTCTCCATCTTGACTTCAGTAGTAATTGTTGTAGTCACATTGTTTAGCCTGATGATTGTGTGCCTTGCTGATAATTTTTTTGTGATGAATTTCCCATAAGTTATTTGAGCTTCTTGTATTTGGATGTCTAGATCCCTATCAAGGCCAGCAAAGTTTTCCTCAATAATTCCTTCAGATATGTTTCCCAAAATTTAGATTTTTCTTCTTCCTCAGGACACCAGTTAATTTTAGGTTTGGCTGTTTAACATAATCTCATATTTCTTGGAGACTTTATTTTTTTAATTCTTTTTTTTTCATTTTCTGATTGGGTTAATTTGAATGCCTTGTCTCTGACCTCTGAAATTCTTTCTTCTACTTGTTCTAGTCTATTGTTGAAACTCTCCAGTGCATTTTATATTTCCCTAAGTGTGTATTTTATTTCCAGAAGTTGTAGTTCTTTTTCTTTATGCTATCTCTCTGGAAAATTTTTTATCCATATCCTGTATTTTTAAAAAATTTCTTTGTGTTGTTTTTTACCTTCCTCTGGTATTTCCTTGGGTAAACTATTTCTTCAAATTGTTCTTGAATTTAGTTTTGATTGGATTGTGGTGTTTTTTAAATTTCTTTCTGCTCTTAAGGATCAAACTTTAATGTTTGTAGTTTATTTTAGCTGAATTTGGTTCTTGGTGCTTTTACGGGTGAAGACTCTGTATGAGTTACTTAGTTATAGTCTTTGTCTGCTGGTTTTCCCAGATGCTGGTTGTAGTAGTTATATACTTGGTATATGGGCAAGTTTACTGTCTCCTAGGGGGTTAGAATGGCAGGGATCTCTTGAAGCTTATCTTGTTCTCTCATAGTGTATACTTTTTTTACTTATTTAATTTTTCCCTAGTATTTTATTTACTGAATTGGTGATTCAACCTTCAGGCCAATAGGGGTGGTATTCCTGGCTAGGCACTGGTTGTAGCTAAGGCAGGTTGAGGAGACATACTACCAATGGTGGGCAGAGGCCCAGTATTTATTAAGTTGGCTGGGGGAGCTCTCAATTAGGTGTGGAGAGGCTTTATCAGGGCAAAGAGTGGGAGCTACCTCAGCTCCCCTGCCAGACTAGCAGGAAAGCTATCAGCCTCACAGCCTTACTCTTGTCCAAGTGTTCTGGCTGTTCAAATCAGACAGGCTGTATGGGTCTATTTCAAGATTCTTTATTTTTTTCTATTTTTATGTGTCTGTCCCTCTGCCAATACCACACTTTTAAAATTATTGTAACCATACAGTAAGCTTTAAAATTGGATATACTGATTCTTCCAACTTTATTCTTTTTCAAAATTGTCTTAGTTACTCTAGTTCCTATGGCTTTCTACCTAAATTTTAGAATAAGTTTTTTTACTTTTCAAAAAAAAATCTTGCGATAATTTGATAGGAATTACATTAAATCTGTATATTACTTTGGGGAGAATTTATATCATTGCTTATGTTGAGTCTTCCAATTCATGAACATAGTATGTCTCTACATTTACTTAGATCTTCTTTGATTTCTTTCATCATTTTTTTTTGGCATACAAATCATGTACATGTCATGTTAGATCTATACCTATGTATTTTTTTGATTGTGAGTGGTATTTTTAAATTTTGTTTGGCACATGTTCATTGCTGATATATAGAAATACAATTAATTTTTGTTGACTTTGTGTCCTGCAACTTTGCTGAACTCACTAGTAAGTTTCAGGCAGAGGCAGCTTTATCTGCTTGGGACCCATTCCATTGGACCAAGGTCTGTACTAATAAGGGCCAATGCTTGGTTAAATACTCTGCTCTGACCATCTTGAAATTCTTGGTAATTTTATCTCTGAATCCATGTTTTTTAAATGAAGTTTCATAGGAGAATGGAGTACATGTGTAAGCAGGAGGGACATGACAGTGTGTGTGTATATATACATTTGTAATCCTGTTTTTGAGGTTTATTGTAATTGGGTTTTGAATTTTGTCAAATACTATTTCTGCATCAACTGATGATTTTTCTGTTTCAGCTTGTTATTTAGTGAACAACATTGATTGATTTTTGAATATTGAGCTAGCCATAAATTTCTGGAATAAGCCTCTCTTGTTTTTAAATGTATGGCTGAATTCTATTTAGTAATCTTTTGTTAAGAACTTTTACATTTGGGCTGGGCGTGGTGGCTCATGCCTGTAATCCCAGCACTTTGGGAGGCTGAGGCAGGCAGATTACGAGGTCAAGAGATCAAGACATCCTGGCCAACATGGTGAAACCCCGTGTCTACTAAAAAGAAATACAAAAATTAGCTGGGTGTGGTGGCGTGCTCTGTAGTCCCAGCTACTCAGGAGGCCGAGGCAGGAGAATTGCTTGAACCTGGGAGGTGGAGGTTGCAGTGAGCCAAGATTTCGCCACTGCACTCCAGCCTGGCAACAGAGCAAGACTCTGTCTCAAAAAAACAACCAAAAAAACAAAAAAAATCACTTTTACATTTCTATTCATCAGGGATATTAGTCTGTAGTTTTCTTTATTTTACTGAATTTATCTGGTTTGTTCTCAGGTAGTCTTTATTTATAAATTTGAACGTTTTCCCTCTTGTATTTTCTGGAAGAGATTGTTAAAATTGGTATCAATTGTTGGGTGCAGTGGCTCACGCCTGTAATTCCAATACTTTGGGAGGCTGAGGTGGGCAGATCACTTGAGGTCACAAGTTCAAGACCAGCCTGGCCAACATGGTGAAACCCCATCTCTACTAAAAATACAAAAAATTAGCCAGACGTGATGGCAGGCGTCTGTTATCCCAGTTACTCGGGAGGCTGAGGCAGGAGAATTGCTTGAACCTGGGAGGCAGATGTTGCAGTGAGCCAAGATTGCACCACTGCATTCTAGCCTGGGCAACAGAGTGACACTCTGTCTCAAGAAAAAAAAAAAATGGTGTCAATTATTCTTTAAGTGTTTGGTAAAATTCTCTAGCCAAATCATGAGTGTGTGGAAATTTCTTTTTTGGAAATTTGGAAATTATAAATTCAATTTTCTTAGTAGCTACAGGGATATTCAGCCTATTTCAGTTGGGGTTATTGTGCTAGTTTACAGTTTCTGAGGAATTTTTTCATTTCATCTAAGTTGTTAAATGTATTTGTGTGGAGTTGTTATCATTTTCAAAGCTGCATGGTCTGTAGCAATACTCATTGTTTCATTCCTGATGTTTGCACTGTTTTTTCTTTTTTTCTCCTAAAAAAATCTCCTACTAGAGATTTTTCTATTTTATGTAACTTTTCAAGGAAACTGCTTTGTCATTCATTGATTATCTCTATTCTTTTTGTTTTCAATTTTGTTGATTTTTGCTCTTTACTATTTTTTTTTACTCTGCTCAGTTTGTGTTTATTTTGGTTTTCTTTTTCTAGGTTGTTGAGACAGGAGGTAAGTTACTGGTTTGAGACTTTTCTTATTATTATTGTAATTTTATTTTATTTTAAGTTCTGTGATACATGTGTAAGACATGGAAGTTTGTTACATAGGTAAACTTGTGCCATGTTGGCTTGCTGCACCTATCAACCTATCACCTAGGTATTGAGCCCTGCATGCATTAGCTATTTATCCTGATGCTCTCCCTCCCCGCCTACCCTCAACAGGCCCCAGTGTGTGTTGTTCCCCTCCTTCTTCCACGTGTTTTCATTGTTCAGCTCCCACTTATAAGTGAGAACATGTGGTGTTTGGTTTTCTGTTCCTGTGATACATGGCTGATGATAATGGCTTCGAGCTCCATCCATGTCCCTGCAAAGGACGTGATCTCATTCCTTTTTATGGTTGCATAGTATTCCATGGTGTATATGTAACATATTTTCTTTATTCAGTCTATCATTGATGGGCATTTGGGTTGATTCCATGTCTTTACTCTTATGAATAGTGCTGCAATAAACATATTCATACATGTATCTTTATAATAAAATGATTTACATTCCTTTGGATATATACCCAGTAATGAGATTGCTGGGTCAAATGGTATTTCTGGTCCTAGATCTTTGAGGAATCACCATACTGTCTTCCACTCTTTAAAATGGTTGAACTAATTTACATTCCCACCAGCAGAGTAAAAGCATTCCTATTTCTCCACAGTCTCGCCAGCATCTGTTGTTTCTTGACTTTTTAATGGTCATCATTCTGACTGGCATGAGATAGTATCTCATTCTAATTTTAATTTGCATTTCTCTAATGATCAATGATGTTGACTTTTTTTTTCATGTGTTTGTCAACCGCATGTATGTCTTTTTTTGAGAAGTGTCTATTCATGTTCTTTGCCCACTGTTTGATGGGGTTGATGGTTTTTTTCTTGGAAATTTGTTTACATTCCTTATAGATTCTGGATATTAGACCTTTGTCAGATGGATAAATTGCAAAAATTTTCTCCCATTCTGTAGGTTTTCTGTTCATGCTGATGATAGTTTCTTTTGCTGTGCAGAAGCTCTTTAGTTTAATTACATCCCGTTTGCCAATTTTTGTTTTTGTTGCAGTTGCAGTTGACGTTTTTGTCATGAAATCTTTGCCTGGGCCTATGTCCTGAGTGGTATTGCCTGGATTTTCTCTAGGATTTTAATAGTTTTTGGTTTTACAAATAGAAAGAGAGGAAGTCAACCTGTCTCTGTTTGAAGATAACATGATCCTATATCTAGAAAACCCTATAGCCTCAGCCTAAAGCTTCTTAAACTGATAAGCAACTTCAGCAAAGTCTCAGGAGAAGGTTACAAAATAAATGTGCAAAAATCACAGGGATTCATATACACCAACAATAGACAAACAGAGAGCCAAATCATGAATGAACTCCCATTCACAATTGCTACAAAGAGAATAAAATATCTAGGAATATAGCTAACAAGGGAAGTCAAGGAGCACTTCAAGAACTACAAACCACTGCTCAAGGAAATCAGAGAGGACACAAACAAATGTAAAAACATTCCATGCTTGTGGATAGGAAGGATCAATATTATGAAAATGGCCATATTGCCTAAAGCAATTTATAGATTCAATGCTATTCCCATTAAACTATTATTGACATTCTTCACATAATTAGAAACAAATTCTTTAAAAATCATATAGAACCAAAAAAGGGCCCACATAGCCAAGACAATCCTAAGCAAAAAGAACAAAGCTGGAGGCACCACACTGACTTCAAACTATACCACAAGGCTACAGTAACCAAAACAACATGGTACTGGTACCAAAACAGACACATAGACCAATAGAACAGAATAAAGATCTCAGAAATAAGACCACACATCTACATCTGATCTTAGACAAACCTAACAAAAGCAATGGGGAAATAATTCCCTATTTAATAAATGTTGCTGGGAAAACTGGCTAGACACATACAGAAAATTAAAACTGGACCCCTTCCTTATACCTTATAGAAAAATTAACCCAAGATGGATTAAAGACTTTTTTCTTTTTAAATGTATTTAGCACTACACATTTCCCTCTTGGCAGTCTTTTAGCTATATCTGACAAATGTTTATATTTCCAATTTTATTCAGTTCATTATATTTTTAAAAATTTTATTGTGACTTCTTAGACACAAAGATTACAATAAGGCATGATATTATCATGTTTTGGTCAATGATGGACTACATATAAAAGAGGATAATGAAGCTGAAAAATTTCTATTGCCTCATGCGTTCATAGCCATTGTAACATTATAGCACAATGCATTGCCCTTTTCTATATTTAAATATTTAGATACACAAATGTTTACCATTATGTAACAATTGCCTACAGTATTCACTACAGTAACATACGGTACAGGTTTGTAGCCTAGGAGCAATAGGCTATACAAGTTGTGCATTCCTTATCCAAAATGTTTGAGACCAGAAGTGTTTTGGATTTTAGATTTTTCTGAATATTGGAATGTTGAGATTATTCCTACCAGGTGAGCATCCCAAACCTGAAAATTCAAAATCCTAAATGTTCCAATGAGCATTTCCTTTGAGTGTCATGTTAATGCTTAAAAAGTTTTGGATTTTTAAGCACTCTGGATTTTGGGTTTTGGGATACTCAACCTGTACCATGTAATCTATCTGTATAAAAAGGTGTACTATCTAGGTTAGTGTAAGTACTTACACTCTATATAAGAGCGATGTTTGCACTATGATAAAATCACCTAATGATGCATTTCTCAGAACTTATGCCCATTGTTAAGTGATGCATGACTGTGTTTGGAAGTGTTTTTCTTATTTCCAAGTACTTGGAGATTTTATTGTATCTTTCTTTTACTGATTTCTAGTTTGATTCCATTGTACTCAGAGAAAATATTTTATATAACTTGAGTTATTTTAAAATTGTTGAGGTTTGTTTTTCAACCCCAGGATGTAGCTCATCTTTGTGTATGTTCTGTGTATGCTAGAAAAATAATGTCTATTTTGCTGTTGTTGACAGATTATTCTGTAAAAGTTGATTAGATTCTATAGGGTTATGATTTTCTTGCATTCTATATCCTTACTGATTTTCTCTTTAGTTGTTCTAATAATTGCTGAGAGAGAGGTATTGAAGTCTCCTACAAGAATCATGGATTTCTTTTTCCTCCTTTCAGTTCTGTCATGTTTTATTTAATGTATTTTGCAGCCTGTTTGGTGCATTCACATTTAGGGTTGCTATATCTTCTTGGTAGAGTGACCATTTTATTATTATTTGGTGTCCCTCTCTATCTCATAATTTCCTTTACTGTGAAATTTTCATTATCTAACATAATATAGTGTCTTCTTTCTAGTGATTCATGTTTGCACGATATATCTTTGTCTATTCTTATACTT
The DNA here is from genome assembly GCF_000001405.40 of Homo sapiens. Lineage (NCBI taxonomy): Eukaryota > Metazoa > Chordata > Mammalia > Primates > Hominidae > Homo > Homo sapiens. The sequence goes on from NC_000003.12 coordinate 121,087,546, forward strand.
TAAAGTTAGCTATGTTAATATATTCAAAGTGTATTTCTTATAGACAAGCGTATAGTTGGGTCATGGTTTTTAATTCATTCTGTCAGTCTATATATTTTAATTAATGTTTACATTAGATATAATTATTGATATATTAGGGCTTAGGTTCTCCATTTTATTTTTTGTTTTTTGGTTGTTCTATTTGTTATTGCTCTGCTTTTTTCCCCTTGCCTTTCTGTGGTTTAATTGAACACTTTTTAGAATTCCATTTTGACTTATTATTAGTTAATTTTAGTGTATTTCTTTGTATCACTTTTTAAAGAGGTTGCTATAGGTATTTTATTATATACAAACAACTTACTGGAATCTACTGCTGCTACAAATTACCAGTTTGAATGAAATGCAGAGACTTTTCCTTTCTTTACTTCCCTTTACTTCTCTCATTTATAATAAATTTTATTGTTTTTCCCTATATATATTATGAACCACATCAGACTATGTTATTTCAGCTTTAACCATCAAATATAATTTAGAAGCTCCGGCAACAAAAGCCAAAATTGACAAATGGGATCTAATTAAACTAAAGAGCTTCTGCACAGCAAAAGAAACTACCATCAGAGTGAACAGGCAAACTACAACATGGGAGAAAATTTTCGCAACCTACTCATCTGACAAAGGGCTAATATCCAGAATCTACAATGAACTCAAACAAATTTACAAGAAAAAAACAAACAACCCCATCAAAAAGTGGGCGAAGGACATGAACAGACACTTCTCAAAAGAAGACATTTATGCAGCCAAAAAACACATGAAGAAATGCTCATCATCACTGGCCATCAGAGAAATGCAAATCAAAACCACTATGAGATATCATCTCACACCAGTTAGAATGGCAATCATTAAAAAATCAGGAAACAACAGGTGCTGGAGAGGATGTGGAGAAATAGGAACACTTTTACACTGTTGGTGGGACTGTAAACTAGTTCAACCATTGTGGAAGTCAGTGTGGCGATTCCTCAGGGATCTAGAACTAGAAATACCATTTGACCCAGCCATCCCATTACTGGGTATATACCCAAAGGACTATAAATCATGCTGCTATAAAGACACATGCACACGTATGTTTATTGCGGCACTATTCACAATAGCAAAGACTTGGAACCAACCCAAATGTCCAACAATGATAGACTGGATGAAGAAAATGTGGCACATATACACCATGGAATACTATGCAGCCATAAAAAATGATGAGTTCATGTCCTTTGTAGGGACATGGATGAAATTGGAAACCATCATTCTCAGTAAACTATCGCAAGAACAAAAAACCAAACACCGCATATTCTCACTCATAGGTGGGAATTGAACAATGAGATCACATGGACACAGGAAGGGGAATATCACACTCTGGGGACTGTGGTGGGGTCGGGGGAGGGGGGAGGGATAGCATTGGGAGATATACCTAATGCTAGATGACACGTTAGTGGGTGCAGCACACCAGCATGGCACATGTATACCTATGTAACTAACCTGCACAATGTGCACATGTACCCTAAAACTTAGAGTATAATAAAAAAAAAAAAAAAAAAAAAAAAAAGAAGCTCCAAGAGGAGAAGGAAAAAAATATATAAATACACTTAGTATATACATAGTACATTTATTATATTTTTACTGTCTCTTTTTTCCCATACTTGATTTTTAAAAGTTTCTTCTATTAGATATTTTTCTGTTTAGAAAACTCCATAAAGCAATTTTTTATTGGTCTTTTAAAGAAAAAATTTTTAGTTTTCCTTTACCTGATAATGTCATAATTTCTTCATACCTGAGGGATAATTTTGCTTAATATAGAATTCTAGGTTGGTAGTTTTTCTTTGTTTTTCATTTTATACACCTGAATAGCATTCTACTTCCTCCTGGTCTCTGTGGTTTCTGATGAGAAATCTACTGTCATTGGAAATTTTCTCCCATAGTTAAGGTGTTGTTTTTTCTCTTGCTGCTTTAAAGATTTTTTTTTTCTTTTCTTCCTTGTTTTTATCTCAGATAATTGGCTGTGATTTGTCTGACTGTTTATTTCTCTGGGTTTATTCCGTTTAGTTTTGCTCAGCTTCTTGCATTTTTTAGCCATTGTTTATTCAACTGCTTTTTCAGTCTCATCCTCTTTTCCTTTCATTCCGTTATCCTGATAATATGATTGATAGATCTATTGGTTTTGTCCCATAGGTTTCTGAAGCTCTGGTATTTTTTTACTTATATTATTTGTTTTTTCAGATTGGTGAATAAATATTATTACATCCTCTAGGCCACTGGCTCTTATGTCTGTCCTTGTTATTCTGGTGTTTAGCTTATCCACAGAATTTTAAATTTTCTTCATTATATTTTAAGTAGTAAAATTTGTAATTGGTTCTTTTTACTTACTTTTTCTTTGCTTATACTTTATATTTTTATTTGTTTCATATGTGTCTGTACTTGTTGAAACCTTTTCATGATTACTTCTTTTAAATATTTGTTAGCAAATTCTAATATCTATGTCATCTTGCTGCTAGTAACTATTGCCTTTTTTCATTCAAATTGAGGTTTTTCTATTTCCTATTATAATAAGTGATTTTTAAATTAAAACCTGGACATTCCAGGCATTGTTATGAGGTTTCAGTTTTTATTTAAACCCCTTTTTTAGGTGGTTGTATTTGACATTGGTCTGGCAGGGGAAGGTCAGATGTTGTGTTATTAATGATAGGTGGGAATTGAAGTTCAGGTGCTCCATTTAAACTCACTGACATCTTAGATAGGGAGAGACACCTTGTAGCTGCTGGGTGGGGTGGGATTTTTGGCTCTCCACTATGCCTCCTCTTTTACCCCTCTTACAAGGAAGAATAAGAGTACCTCCTTACTGCTCCTCAAATGGATTCTACTAACCCAATTCTCATTCAGAAATTGAAATATTTTATCCATATAGATGTAGAAAATATTATTTCTGTTGTTCAGGAGCATGAAAATAGACTTCCATACCTCTGCCAGAAATCATGGCTTTTGCTCCTGTGGAACAGAAAGGGAATGAGTTTAGTTAATTATGATTAAAATATTTTAAAGTCTCTAAAGGAGGTATATACAGATCTGAATTGTCTAAAAATTTTTGTACCTAAGAGTAATCATTTTTGGTCATTTATTTGTACTAATAACATTGTTGATCATGTACAGTTTAGCTTTACTTCATGGGGACACAATTAGTGCCTCAGATGGTATGAATTTTTTTTATTTTTTATTTTTTTATTATTATACTTTAAGTTTTAGGGTACATGTGCACAACGTGCAGGTTAGTTACATATGTATACATGTGACATGCTGGTGTGCTGCACCCACTAACGTGTCATCTAGCATTAGGTATATCTCCCAGTGCTATCCCTCCCCCCTCCCCCCACCCCACAACAGTCCCCAGAATGTGATGTTCCCCTTCCTGTGTCCATGTGTTCTCATTGTTCAATTCCCACCTATGAGTGAGAATATGCGGTGTGTGGTTTTTTGTTCTTGTGATAGTTTACTGAGAATGATGCTTTCCAATTTCATCCATGTCCCTACAAAGGACATGAACTCATCATTTTTTATGGCTGCATAGTATTCCATGGTGTATATGTGCCACATTTTCTTAATCCAGTCTATCATTGATGGACATTTGGATTGGTTCCAAGTCCTTGCTATTGTGAATAGTGCCACAATAAGCATACATGTGCATGTGTCTTTATAGCAGCATGATTTATAGTCCTTTGGGTATATACCCAGTAATGGGATGGCTGGGTCAAATGGTATTTCTAGTTTTAGAACCCTGAGGAATCGCCACACTGACTTCCACAATGGTTGAACTAGTTTACAGTCCCACCAACAGTGTAAAAGTGTTCCTATTTCTCCACATCCTCTCCAGCACCTGTTGTTCCCTGACTTTTTAATGATTGCCATTCTAACTGGTGTGAGATGATATCTCATTGCAGTTTTGATTTGCATTTCTCTGATGGCCAGTGATGGTGAGCATTTTTTCATGTGTTTTTTGGCTGCATAAATGTCTTCTTTTGAGAAGTGTATGTTCATGTCCTTCGCCCACTTTTTGATGGGGTTGTTTTTTTCTTGTAAATTTGTTTGAGTTCATCATAGATTCTGGATATTAGCCCTTTGTCAGATGAGTAGGTTGCGAAAATTTTCTCCCATGTTGTAGGTTGCCTGTTCACTCTGATGGTAGTTTCCTTTGCTGTGCAGAAGCTCTTTAGTTTAATTAGATCCCATTTGTCAATTTTGTCTTTTATTGCCATTGCTTTTGGTGTTTTAGACATGAAGTCCTTGCCCATGCCTATGTCCTGAATGGTAATGCCTAGGTTTTCTTCTAGGATCTTTATGGTTTTAGGTCTAACATTTAAGTCTTTAATTCATCTTGAATTAATTTTTGTATAAGGTGTAAGGAAGGGATCCAGTTTCAGCTTTCTACATATGGCTAGCCTGTTTTCCCAGCACCGTTTATTAAATAGGGAATACTTTCCCCATTGCTTGTTTTTCTCGGGTTTGTCAAAGATCAGATAGTTGTAGATATGCAGCGTTATTTCTGAGGGCTCTGTTCTATTGGTCTATATCTCTGTTTTGGTACCAGTACCATGCTGTTTTGGTTACTGTAGCCTTGTAGTATAGTTTGAAGTCAGGTAGCATGATGCCTCCAGCTTTGTTCTTTTGGCTTAGGACTGACTTGGCAATGCGGGCTCTTTCTTGGTTCCATATGAACTTTAAAGTAGTGTTTTCCAATTCTGTGATGAAAGTCATTGGTAGCTTGATGGGGATGGCATTGAATCTATAAATTACCTTGGGCAGTATGGCCATTTTCACGATATTGATTCTTCCTACCCATGAGCATGGAATGTTCTTCCATTTGTTTGTATCCTCTTTAAGTTCATTGAGCAGTGGTTTGTAGTTCTCCTTGAAGAGGTCCTTCACGTCCCTTGTAAGTTGGATTCCTAGGTATTTTATTCTCTTTGAAGCAATTGGGAATGGGAGTTCATTCATGATTTGGCTCTCTGTTTGTCTGTTATTGGTGTATAAGAATGCTTGTGATTTTTGTACATTGATTTTGCATCCTGAGACTTTGCTGAAGTTGCTTATCAGCTTAAGGAGATTTTGGGCTGAGACAGTGGGGTTTTCTAGATACACAATCATGTCATCTGCAAACAGGGACAATTTGACTTTCTCTTTTCCTAATTGAATACCCTTTATTTCCTTCTCCTGTCTAATTGCCCTGGCCAGAACTTCCAACACCATGTTGAATAGGAGTGGTGAGAGAGGGCATCCCTGTCTTGTGCCAGTTTTCAAAGGGAATGCTTCCAGTATTTGCCCATTCAGTATGATATTGGCTGTGGGTTTGTCATAGATAGCTGTTATTGTTTTGAGATATGTCCCATCAATACCTAATTTATTGAGAGTTTTTAGCATGAAGAGTTGTTGAATTTTGTCAAAGGCCTTTTCTGCAGCTATTGAGATAATCATGTGGTTTTTGCCTTTGGTTCTGTTTATATGCTGGATTACATTTATTGATTTGCATATATCGAACCAGCCTTGCATCCCAGGGATGAAGCCCATTTGATCATGGTGGAGAAGCTTTTTAATGTGCTGCTGGATTCGGTTTGCCAGTATTTTATTGAGGATTTTTGCATCAATGTTCATCAAGGACATTGGTCTAAAATTCTCTTTTTTGGTTTTGTCTCTGCCCGGCTTTGGTATCAGGATGATGCTGGCCTCATAAAATGAGTTAGGGAGGATTCCCTCTTTTTCTATTGATTGGAATAGTTTCAGAAGGAATGGTACCAGTTCCTCCTTGTACCTCTGATAGAATTCGGCTGTGAATCCATCTGGTCCTGGACTCTTTTTGGTTGGTAAGCTATTGATTATTGCCACAATTTCAGCTCCTGTTATTGGTCTATTCAGAGATTCAACTTCTTCCTGGTTTAGTCTTGGGAGGGTATATGTGTCGAGGAATTTATCCATTTCTTCTAGATTTTCTAGTTTATTTGCGTAGAGCTGTTTGTAGTATTCGCTGATGGTAGTTTATATTTCTGTGGGATCAGTGGTGATATCCCCTTTATCATTTTTTCTTGCTTCTATTTGATTCTTCTCTCTTTTTTTCTTTATTAGTCTTGCTAGCCGTCTATCAATTTTGTTGATCCTTTCAAAAAACCAGCTCCTGGATTCATTAATTTTTGAAGGGTTTTTTGTGTCTCTATTTCCTTAAGTTCTGTTCTGATTTTAGTTATTTCTTGCCTTCTGCTAGCTTTTGAATGTGTTTGCTCTTTCTTTTCTAGTTCTTTTAATTGTGATGTTAGGGTGTCAATTTTGGATCTTTCCTGCTTTCTCTTGTGGGCATTTAGTGCTATACATTTCCCTCTACACACTGCTTTAAATGTGTCCCGGAGATTCTGGTACGTTGTGTCTTTGTTCTCGTTGGTTTCAAAGAACATCTTTATTTCTGCCTTCATTTTGTTATGTGCCCAGTAGTCATTCAGGAGCAGGTTGTTCAATTTTCATGTAGTTGAGCGGTTTTGAGTGAGTGTCTTAATCCTGAGTTCTAGTTTGATTGCACTGTGGTCTGAGAGACAGTTTGTTATAATTTCTGTTCTTTTACATTTGCTGAGGAGAGCTTTACTTCCAACTATGTGGTCAATTTTGGAATAGGTGTGATGTGGTGCTGAAAAAAATGTATATTCTGTTGATTTGGGGTGGAGAGTTCTGTAGATGTCTATTAGGTCCGCTTGGTGCAGAGCTGAGTCCAATTCCTGGGTATCCTTGTCGACTTTCTGTCTCGTTGATCTGTCTAATGTTGACAGTGGGGTGTTAAAGTCTCCCATTATTATTGTGTGGGAGTCTAAGTCTCTTTATAGGTCACTCAGGACTTGCTTTATGAGTCTGGGTGCTCCTGTATTGGGTGCATATATATTTAGGATAGTTAGCTCTTCTTGTTGAATTAGTCCCTTTACCATTATGTAATGGCCTTCTTTGTCCCTTTTGATCTTTGTTGGTTTAAAGTCTGTTTTATCAGAGACTAGGATTGCAACCCCTGCCTTTTTTTGTTTTCCATTTGCTTGGTAGATCTTCCTCCATCCTTTTATTTTGAGCCTATGTGTGTCTCTGCACGTGAGATGGTTTTCCTGAATACAACACACTGATGGGTCTTGACTCCTTATCCAATTTGCCAGTCTGTGTCTTTTAATTGGAGCATGTAGTCCATTTACATTGAAAGTTAATATTGTTATGTGTGAATTTGAACCTTTCATTATGATGTTAGGTGGTTATTTTGCTCGTTAGTTGATGCAGTTTCTTCCTAGTCTCGATGGTCTTTACATTTTGGCATGATTTTGCAGCGGCTGGTACTGGTTGTTCCTCTCCATGTTTAGTGCTTCCTTCAGGAGCTCTTTTAGGGCAGGCCTGGTGGTGACAAAATCTCTCAGCATTTGCTTGTCTGTAAAGCATATCTGTAAAGCATTGTCTGTAAAGCCTCACTTATGAAGCTTAGTTTGGCTGGATATGAAATTCTGGGTTGAAAATTCTTTTCTTTAAGAATGTTGAATATTGGCCCCCAGTGTCTTCTGGCTTGTAGAGTTTCTGCCGAGAGATCCGCTGTTAGTCTGACGAGCTTCCCTTTGTGGGTAACCCGACCTCTCTCTCTGGCTGCCTTAACATTTTTTCCTTCATTTCAACTTTGGTGAATCTGACACTTATGTGTCTTGGAGTTGCTCTTCTCGAGGAGTATCTTTGTGGCATTCTCTGTATTTCCTGAATTTGAATGTTGGCCTGTCCTTCTAGGTTGGGGAAGTTCTCTTGGATAATAACCTGCAGAGTGTTTTCCAACGTGGTTCCATGCTCCCCGTCACTTTCAGTTACACCAATCAGATGTGGATTTGATCTTTAAACATAGTCCCATATTTCTTGGAGGCTTTGTTCATTTCTTTTTACTCTTTTTTCTCTAACCTTCTCTTCTCGCTTCATTTCATTCATTTGGTCTTCAATCACTGATAACCTTTCTTCCAGCTGATCGAATCGGCTACTGAAGCTTGTGCATTCATCATATAGTTCTCATGCCATGGTTTTTAGCTCCATCAGGTCATTTAAGGACTTCTGTACATTGGTTATTCTAGTTAGCCATTCGTCTATTCTTTTTTCAAGGTTTTTAACTTCTTTGCGATGGGTTCGAACTTCCTCCTTTAGCTCGGAGAAGTTTGATCGTCTGAAGCCTTCTTCTCTCAACTCGTCAAAGTCATTCTCCATCCAGCTTTGTTCTGTTGCTGGTGAGGAACTGTGTTCCTTTGGAGGGGGAGAGGCACTGTGATTTTTAGAATATTTAGCTTTTCCCCTCTGTTTTTTCCCCATCTTTGTGATTTTATCTACCTTTGGTCTTCAATGATGGTGACGTACAGATGGGGTTTTGGTGTGGTTGTCCTTTCTTTTTGTTAGTGTCTGTCACCGCTTCTCTGGGCTAGGAAGTGCAATTCCCTGACCCCTTGTGCTTCCTGGGTGAGGCGATGCCTCACCTTGCTTCGGCTCTTGCTTGGTGGGCTGTACCCACTATCCTGCCCCCCACTGTCTGACAATCCCCAGTGAGATGAACCCGGTACCTCAGTTGGAAGTGCAGAAATCACCCATCTTCTGCATCACTCATGCTGGGAGTTGTGGACTGGAGCTGTTCATATTTGGCTATCTTGGAACCACCTCCTCCTCTAACCTTTCTTCACGCTTCTTAGCTTGCTTGCATTGGGTTAGAATATGCTCCTTTAGCCTGGAGGAGTTTGTTGTTACCCACTTTCTGAAGCCTACTTTTGTCAGTTAATCAAACTCATTCTCCATCTAGTTTTATTCTGTTGCTGGCGAGACACTGTGATTCTTTCGTGGAGAAGAGGTGTTCTGGTTTTTGGAATTTTCAGCCACTTTGCACTGGTTTCTCCCCATCTTCATGGATTTATCTACTTTTGGTCCTTGATTTTGGTTACCTTCTGATGGGGTCTTTGAGTGGATGTGCTATTCGTTTCTGTTTGTTAGTTTTTCTTCCAACAGTCAGGCCCCTCTGCTGCAGGTTGGCTGGAGTTTGCTGGAGGTCCACTACAGACGCTATTTGCCTGGGTATAACCAGGGGCGGCTGCATAACAGCGAAAGAAAAAAAAAAGCCTGTTTTTTCCTCTGGAATCTTTGTCCCAGAGGGGAACCTACCAGTTGCCAGCCAGAGCTCTCCTGTATGAGGTTTCTGTCAGCCCCTACTGGGAGGTGTCTCCCATTCAGGAGGTATGGAGGTCAGGGATCCACTTGAGCAGGCAGTCTGATGGTTAGTATAGCTCAAACACTCTGCTGGGAGTCCACTGCTCTCTTCAGAGCTGTCAGGCAGGGATGTTTAAGTCTGCTGAAGTTGTGCCCACAGCAGCCCCTTCCCCGAGGTGCTCTGTCCCAGGGACATGGGGGTTTTGTCTATATGTCCCTTATGGGGGCTGCTGCCTTTTTTTCAGAGATGCCCTGCCCGGAGAGGAGAAATGTGGCAGTCTGGCCACAGCAGCCTTGCTCAGCTCTGCCCAGTTCAAACTTCCTGGCTGCTTTGTTTACTCTGTGAGCTTAAAACTGGCTACTCAAGCTGCACCAGTGGTGGATGCCCCTCCCCACACCAAGCTCAATTGTCCCAGGTTGATCTCTGACTGCTGTTGTGTTGGCAGTGAGAATTTCAAGCCAGTGGGGGTGGGACCCACCGAGCCAGACCACTTGGCTCCCTGACTTCAGCACCCCTTTCCAGGGGAGTGAACGGTTCTGTCTTGCTGGCATTCCAGGAGCCACTGGGGTATGGAAAGAAAAACACCTGCAGCTAGTTCAGTGTTTTCCCTAATGGCCACCCAGTTTTGTGCTCGAAACCCAGGGCCCTGGTGGGGTAGGCACCATAGGGAACCTCCTGGTCTGCGGGGTTGCAAAGACCATGGGACAAATGCAGTATCTGGGCTGGAGTGTGCACCCTTCCTCAGGCTCAGTCCCTCATGGCTTCCCTTGGTTAGGGGAGAAAATTTCCCGACTTCTTGCACTTCCTGGGTGAGGCGATGCCCCACCCTGCTTCAGATCACCCTCCGTGAGCTGCACCCACCATCCAACCATTCCCAGTGAGATGAACCGGGTACCTCAGTTGGAAATGCAGAAATCACCCACCTTCTGTGTCGATCTCGCTGGGAACTGCAGACCAGAGCTGTTCCTATTCGGCCATTTTGCCAGCTATCCCCTTGTTTGCCAGTATTTTTTAAGCTTGTTGCATATCAAATGGAACTAATTGAAATGTGATCTAATACAATGGATGCCATTACTGAATATATTATACTTAAGATTACATTTAATTTTGTAATCTTGGTTATAGAGGGGTTATACTGTTGGTTTACGTTGAACGTAAAGCCAAGCAATACTCCCATTTTTTTTTCTATTTTAACCATTGTTAAACAGTTTTTCAATCATATACTTTAGCAGTTGATGTTTTTTAAATGAAAATGCAGAATTTTCTATGTATCCCTATTAGTATAATTTTCTGTTCAACCTACGGTACTGATATCAAGAAATGTGGAAAGCACATTATATTATCTAATATCTTGATATGTTTTTTAGAGTTGGTTTGAAAATTGGTGGAGATTGTTTGATGACTGCCCTTTTTCAGTAGAAGGGGATATGTATTTTGGCTCACAGTACTGCAGGCTGTACAGGAAGTGGGATGTCAGCATCTGCTTCTGGTGAGCACCTCTGAAAGCTTACAATCATGGTGGAAGGAGAAGGAGGAGCAGAGTATCATGTGGTTAGACAGGGAGCAAGAGAGAGAGGCAGGAGGTGCCAGGTTCTTTTAAACAACTAGGTCTCATATGAACTTACAGGGTAAGAACTCCCTCATTATCGTGAAGACAGTACCATGCCATGGTGGTGCTGTCCTCATGATAATGAGTGAGTTCTGACTCTATAAGATTAGTCATCAAGGCAGAGAGATCTGCCTCCATGACCCAAACACTATACCCATTTCCAACATCAGACATCACATTTCAACATGAGATTTGGAGGGGACACACACTCAAACCGTATTATGAGGCCAGAGAAATGAAGTGGCTCAGCTGTGGAATGGAATGCTAAAGTTCAAGTTTTGTCGGGAATACCTTTGTAGGGTTGGCCTGGCCTGCTCCACTTGCATCTGCAAGGATGATGGGTCCTCCTGATGTGGCCAGGTTCAAAAGACCACTCTGGCCATTGTTCCCTACAAGGAATCCAGTTTATAATTGGCATGTCTGTAGGGAGCATCCACTTTACTCCCTTCAAAAGCCTCCAAGGAAGTTATTGTGAATTTTTTTTTCCAGAAAGAAAATAATTTTCTCCATTTCAGGCACATTATCATGGTCCCCAGCATCCTCCCACCTCACAGATCCTGCAATTCTGGTGCATTCTGGACTCCAAATAACCCTGTATATATAGAGAGAGATAGAGATTGCCTCTATCTATATACATTCGTAAGCTTCCCCAAAATGATCTTGGTATCAATAAAGGGAGAATTCAGGTACATTTCACCATCAGCCTCACAGCATGGCAGCCATTGATTTGTCCTGTGGCTTCCTTACCAGGGAACCAATCTGCCTTTATGAGAAAAAGACAAAGATATAATAGAAAGGTTGGTGGGTGACTGTCTGCCAAATTGGTATCAGGGTTCAGTGAACTTTTATGATATGACTATGGAGTTCACCCAGAGGAGTGAACTTTACTGGACATGATTCAGAGATACCTCTGCAGATACATGATACTGGAGAACTGCAAGCACCTGGGCTCAGTAAGATTTCAGCTCTTTATACACAGCCTGATCTCTTGGTTACAATAAAAAGAGTTGAAGACAGTTCAGAGTGGAGTTCTTCAAGAAGCTACAATAGAGGGGAACTCTGTGATTGTAAGAATTGTAGAGAAAACTTCAGTGAACACTTATGCCCAAGAATGAATCAGGAAGAAATTGAAACCCTGAACAGACCAATATCAATCAATATGACACACATGAGAGCTCAGAATAGAGGGAACACTTCTGAGTGTAACTGGTGTAGAAAAGACATCCATACTCTGCAGAAGAAAACCTCTATTGGACAGGAGCTTCCTTAGTTTAATTAGTTTGCAAAAGTCTTCACCCTGACTCCAAGCCTTGCTGTGCATCTGCAAGAAAACCCTGCAAATTTAAGGAATGTGGAAAAGCTTTCAAGTATTTGCAGTCCTTAAAAATGCCCCACTTAAAAGGCATAGAGTGGCAAGGTAGATGAAAAAAGCAAGACTCATCTCTCTGCTGTCTTCAAGAGACCCATTGCACACCTAACAGGACCCACAGGCTCAAAGGAAAGGGTTGGAGAAATATCTGTCACACAAATCGAAAACAAAAAAGTAGTTCCTATTCTCATATCAGATAAAACAGACTTTAAACCAACAACCGTATAAAAGGATAAAGAAGGACATTACATAATGATAAAGGGGTTAATTTGACATGAAAATTTAACTATCCCAAATATATATGCACCCAAATTGGAGCACCCAGATTTATAAAACAAGTACCCCTAGACCTATAAAAAGACTTAGACAGCTACACAATAAGAGTGAGGTCTTTAAAACCCCATTGGCAGCGTTAGACAGATGCTTGAGGCAGAAAACTTAACAATGAAATTCTGGATTAAATTTAACACTTGACCTAATTGAAACTAATATATGTCTACATAATACTCCACCCATCAACTATAGGATACTCACTCTTGTCTTCTGCACACAGAACATACTCCAAACTTGACCACATCCTGGTCCATAAAACAAGTCTCAATAAACTCAAACAAACTGAAATCATATCAAACATACTCTCAGAAAACAGTGGAATAAAAATAATCAATACCAAGATCTTTTATTACCACACAATTACATGAAAATCTTAAAAACTTGCTCCCGATTGACTTTTGGTAAACAATGAAATTAAGGCAGAAATAAAAGAAATTATTTGACATAAATGAAAACAGAGACATGACTTACTAAAATCTCTGGGATGCAACAAAAGCAATGTTAAGAGGAAAGTTTATAGTACTAAATGCCTGTCTCAAAAAGTCATAAAGATCTCAAATTAATGATCTAACATCAAATCTAGAGGAAGTGGAAAAACGAGAACAAACTAATCCTAAAGCTAGCATCGGAAAAGAAAGAACTAAAATCAGTGCAGAACTAAATGAAATTAAGACCCCAAAATCCACACAATATATCGACAAAAAAAAAAAGTTGGTTCTTTGAAAGAATAAATATTGGTAGAACACTAGCTAGATTAACAAAGAAAAAAAAGAGGAAAGATCCAAATAAGCAATCAGAAGCAACAAAGGTGACATTATAACTGATCCCACAAAAACATAAAATATCCTCCAAGACTGCTATGAACACCTCTATGCACACAAACTACGTTATCTAGAGGAAACGGATAAATCCCTGGAAGCACAGCCTCCCAAGAATGAATCAGGAAGAAATTGAAACCCTGAACAGACCAATATCAAGTTCCAAAATTAAATCAGTAGTGAAAAATCTGCCAAACAAAAAAAAAGCTCCAGACAAGATGGAGTCACAGTCAAATTCCACCAGACATACAAAGAAAGCTGGTTCCAGTTCTTCTGATATTATTCCAAAATTCAGGGAAGAGGGACCTCCTTTATTACTCATTTTATGAAGCCAGTATCACACTGATACCAAAACCTGGCAAAGACACAATGAAAAAAGGACAATACAGGCCAATATCCCCAATGAACGTAGATGCAAAAATCCTCAGCAGAATACTAAGAAAAAGAATCCAACAACACAACAAAAAGTTAATTCACCATGATCAATTAGGCTTCATTCCTGGGATGCAAAGTTGATTCAACATATGCAAATCAATAAATCACAACATAAAAAGATTTAAAAACCATATGATCATCTCAATTTACACAGAAAATGCTGTTGATAAAATCTAACATCTCTTCATAATAAGAAACATCAACAAACTAGGCAACGAAGGAATATATACCATAGAATGGTAAGAGCTATTTATGATAAACACATAGCCAATATCATACTGAACAGGCAAAAGCTGAAAGCATTCCCCTTGAGAACTGGAACGAGACAAGGATGCTCACTCTCAACATTCTTATTCAACATAGTACTGGAAGTCCTACCCAGAGCAATCAGGCAAAAGAAAGAAATAAAAGGCATCCAACTAGGAAAAGAAGAAGAAAAACTATGTCTTTTTGCTGATGATATAATTCTATACCTAGAAAACCCTAAAGACTCCACTGAAAAGCTCGTGGAACTGATGAGTTCAGTAAAGTTTCCGGATACAAAGTCAGTAGCATTTCTATCTACCAATAATGTTCAAGCTGCAAACCAAACAAAGAAAACAATCCCATATACAATAGTCACAAGCAAAAAATACCTAGGAATACATCTAACCCAAGATATGAAATATCTCTTTAAGGAGAAGCACAAAACACAGCTGAAAGAAATCATAGGTGACACAAAAAAATGGAAAAATATTTCATGCTTATGGATTGGAAGAACAATATTGTTAAAATGGCCATACTTCCCAAAGCAATGTAAAGATTCAATGCTATACTTATCAAACTACCAGAGTCATTCTTTACAGAATTAGAAAAAAACTATTATAAATTCATGTGGAACCAAAATAGAGCCCAAATAGCCAAATCAGTCCTAAGCAAAAAGAACAAAGCCAGACACATTACATTACCTGATTCAAACTATACTACTGTAAGTGTACAGTAACCAAAAGAGCATCATACAGGTATACAAAGAGAGATAGACCAATGGAACAGAATAGAGAACCCAGAAATAAAGCCACACACCTACAGCCATCTGATCTTTGACAAAGTCAACAAAAATAACCAATGGGAAAAGTACTCCCTATTCAATAAATGGTGCTGTGATACTTGGCTACCCATATGCAGAAAAATGAACTAGACCTCTACCATACACAAAAATTAACTCAAGAGGGTTTAAAGCTCTAAATATCAGACCTCAAACTATAAGAATCCTAGAAATCTTGTGAAATATCATTCTGGACATTGGCCTTGGGAAAGAATTTATGACTAGGTCTTCAAAAGCAATTACAGCAAAATCAAAAATTGACAAGTGGGACCTAATTAAACTAAGGAACTTCTGCACAGCAAGATAAACTGTCACCAGAAGAAACAGATATACTACAGAATGGTAGAACATGTTTACAAACTATGCATCAAACAAAGGTCAAATATCCAGGATCTATAAGGTACTTAGATAATTCAACAAGCAAGAAACACATAACCCCATTAAAAATTGGGCAAAAGACCTTAACAGACACTTCTCAAAAGAAGACATACAAGTGTTCAACAAAAATGAAAAAATACCCCACATAACTAATCATCAGAGAAATGCAAATCAAAAACCACAATGAGATATTATCTCCTACCCATCAGAATGGCTATTATTAAAAAGTCTAAAAACCACAAATGCTGGCAAAGCTGTGGAGAAAAAGGAATGTTTGTACACCTTTGGTGGGAATGTTACTAGTTCACCTACTGTGGAAAGCAGTTTGGAGATTTCACAAACAAAACTGAGCTACCATTTGACCCAGAAATCCCATTACTGGGTATATATCCATAGAAAAATAAATTGTTCTACCAAAATGTCACATGTATGTTCATTGCAGCACTATTCACAATATCAAAGACATGGAATCAACCCAGGTGCCCCTTGACAGTGGATTGGAGGAAGAAAATTGGTGCATATACACTACAGAGTATTATGCAGCCATAAAGAAAATGAAGTCATGTTCTTTGCAGCTATTTGGATGCAGCTGGAGGCCATTATCTTAAGAAAATTTACACAGGAACAGAAAACCAAACAACACATGTTCTCAAGTATACATCGGAGCTAAACATTGGATGTACTTGGATAAAAGATGGCAAAAATAGACACTAGAGACTACTAGGGGGCAAGAGTTAATGAATTGACTGTTGGGTACTGTGCTTACCTCAGCATCACTCAATATACCCATGCAGCACACCTATACATGTACCTCCTGAATCTATAATAAAAGTTGAAATTATTTTTAAAAACCACAAAATAAACATATATGAATATATAAAAAGATAAGACAGTATAGAGAATATAAAGCTTAGTACATATGACATAAAATGCTTGCATTACAAATGACTTCTGTTGGTTAAGAGAAAAGTTAGAGAAAATTAGATGATTAGGTGATTATTTTAAGAACAGATAAAGAAAATTAAGTAACAGTCTTCAAAACAAAGTTCTTAGTGTTTTGCCACTTAAGTTTTAGTGAAGAAATATGTTTGGGTATTTACTGCAGACAGGGTATTACGTAAGTGAACGAAAATAATAAATATTTATCATTCAGTTCTGTCAAATTATTTTTAATTATGAATTTCTGAAGGACTATGAGTGTGTCAGATGATATGTGTCTGTAGCATCTACATGCTGGTACATAGTATCTGTGAAGTGTTTATTACAATAGTAAATCTTCTATATGTCAATCATCATATGAATTTATGACTGCTCATGAAATCTTTTGACCATATATTTTTCTTGCCTGATCCAGGCAAGATAATAAAAATGTTATAATTTTAACTTATATGGTAGGTAACAAATAATATCCTGACAAAAGAATCAAGAAATAATAGAATACAAACAAGTAGAAACACATCTCATGCTCATGGATGGGTAGAATCAATATTGTGAAAATGACCACACTGCCAAAAATAATCTACAGATTCAATGCAATTCCCATTAAAATACCATCATCATTCTTCACAGAACTAGAAAAAACAATCCTAAAATTAATGTGAAACCAAAAAAGAGCCTGCATAACCAAAGCAAGACTAAGCAAAAAGAACAAATCTGGAGGCATCACATGACCCGACTTCAAACTATACTACAAAACTATAGTTAACAAAACAGCATTGTACTGATATAAAAATAGGCATGTAGGGAAATGGAACTAAATAGGGAACCCAAAAATAAAGCCAAACACTTACAGCCAACTGATCTTTGACAAACCAAACAAAAACATAAAGTGGGAAAGAACACCCAATTCAACAAGTGGTGCTGGTATAATTGACAAGTCACATATAGAGAATGAAAGTGGATCCTCATCTCTCACCTTATACAAAAATCAACTCAAGATGGATCAAAGACTTAAATCTAACACCTGAAACCACAAAAATCCTAGAAGATATCATTGGAAAAACTCTTCTAGACATTGGTGTAGGCAAAGAGCTCATGACCAAGATGCGACAAAAAGAAAGATAAATAGATGGGACTTAGTTAAACTAAAAAGCTTCTGCACAGCAAAAGAAAAAATCAGCAGAGTAAACAGGCAACCCACAGAGTGGGAGAAAATCTTGGCAACCTATGCATCTGACAACGGACTATATCCAGAATTTACAATAAACTCAAACAAATCAGCAAGAAAAAAAATAAAAACAAATAATCCCATCAAAAAGTGGGCTAAGGACATGAATAGACAGTTCTCAAAAGATGTACAAGTGGACTGGGCACAGTGGCTCATGCCTATAATCACAGCACTTTAGGAAGCCGAGGTGGGTGTATCACGAGGTCAAGAGATGGAGACCATCCTGGCCAACATGGTGAAAGCCCATCTCTACTAAAAATACAAAAATTAGCTGGGTGTGGTGGCGTGCTCCTGTAGTTCCAGCTACTTGGGAGGCTGAGGCAGGAGAATCGCTTGAACCTGGGAGGCAGAGGTTGCAGTGAGCCGAGATCACGCCGCTGCACTCCAGCCTGGCAACAGAGTGAGACTCTGTCTCAAAATAAATAAATAAATAAATAAATAAAAAGATGTACAAGTGGCCAAGAAACATGAAAAAATGATCAACATCACTAATTATCAGGGAAATGCAAATCAAAACCACAATGTGATGCCACCTTACTCCTGCAATAATGGCCACAATTAAAAAATAAAAAGAATAGGCGTTGGCGTGGATGTGGTGAAAAGGAAACACTTCTACACTGTTGGTGGGAATGTAAACTACTACAACCACTCTGGTAAACAGTATGGAGATTCCTTAAATAACTTTTGATTTAAAAAAAAGCTGTTAGAATAGATAAATATAGTGAAAAGGTACAAACTAAGTATGGACACATGAAACTCAATAGAACCTGTGCAGTTAGAACCATATTCATATTTTGAGGTTATTTTATTTCTGTAAAAAAAATTCAACGTCACATTAATTAATATTGATTTAAATTCTGGTTGTAGTTTTTTGTAATTAATTTGGAATTTTTGTTTTATGTGTGTAAAGAGCCATAAGTGTGAAAAATTTATATTTTATTTTGTTTTTATACCTAAGTAAAATTTCTAAGAGTAAGTCAAAAGTAAAGAATATAAACAAATTCAAAGGTCTGCCCATTTTTCAAAGTGAGAAAAATTTATTTATTTTGTGTTTTGATCATTAATGGCCCAATTGAAACACAACTCTCTACATTAGCTTTTCTTGATTTTTCTTACTGTAATTAATCTCTTCCTTCTTTGGAGTCTATAGAAATTATTACATTTTAGTTTTATTTTTCTTACTTGTCTGCTTGTTTTGTCTCTCCTGTTAGATAGTATGATTTGAAGAAAAACGGATGTGTGTGTATAATCTGGGACAATACATTTTTAAAAATTTAATTTAAAGTTCTGGGATACATGTGAAGGACATCCAGGTTTGTTAACATATGTAAACATGTGTCATGGTGGTTTGCTGCACCTAACAAACCCATCACATCGGTATTGAGCCCTACATGCATTAGCTATTTATTATGACACTTTCCCTCCCTCCCAACCTCCGCCAACAGGCCCCAGTGTGTGTTGTTCCCCATGTATTCTCATTGTTCAGCTCCTACTTAATAAGTGAGAACATGCGGTGTTTGGTTTTCTGTTCCTGTGTTAGTTTGCTGAGGATAATGGCTTTGAGCTCCATCCTTGTCCCTGCAAAGATCATGATCTCATTCTTTTTTGGCTGCATAGTATTCCATGGTGTATATGTATCATATTTTCTTTATCCAGACTATCATTGATGGGCATTTGGGTTGATTCCATGTCTTTGGTATAATGAATAGTGCTGTAATGAACATATGCATGTATATATCTTCATGATAGAATGATTTATATTCCTCTGGGTATATACCCAGTAATGGGATTGCTGGGTCAAATAGTATTTCTGGTTGTAGGTCTTTGAGGAATTGTCACACTGTCTTCCACAATGGTTGAACTAATTTACATTCCCACCAACAGTATAAAAGCATTCTTATTTCTCCACAGCCTCGCCAGCATCTGTTGTTTCTTGACTTTTTAATGATCACCATTCTGACTGAAGTGAGATGGTATTACATTGTGGTTTTGATTTGCATTTCTGTAATGATCAGTGATATTGAACTTTTTTTCATGTTTTTTGGACGCATGGATGTTATCTTTGGAGAAGTTTCTGTTCATGTCTTTGCCCACTTTTTAATGGATTCTTTGTTTTTTTTTTCTTGTAAATTTGTTTAAATTCCTTGTAGATTCTGGATGTTAGACCTTTGTCAGATGGATAGATTGCAAAAATTTTCTCCCATTAGTTTCTTTTGCTGGGCAGAAGCTCTTTAGCTTAATTAGATCCCGTTTGTTAATTTTTGCTTTTGTTGCAATTGCTTTTGATGTTTTCATCATGAAATCTTTGCCCGTGCCTATGTCCTGAATGGTATTGCCTAGATTTTCTTCCAGAGTTTTTATAGTTTGGGGTTTTACATTTAAGTCTTTAATCCATCTTGAGTTAATTTTTTTATAAGTTTTAAGGAAGGGATCCAGTTTCAATTTTCTGAATGTGGCTTGCCAGTTCTCCCAGTGCCATATATTAAATAGGGAATCCTTTCCCCATTGCTTCTTTTTGTCAGGTTTGTCAAAGTTCAGATGGTTGTAGATGTGTGGTCTTATTTCTGAGATCTATATTCTGTTCCATTGGTGTGTCTGTTTTGGTACCAGTACCGTGCTGTTTTGGTTACTATAGCCTTGTGGTATAGCTTGAAGTTGGGTATCATGGTGCCTGCAGCTTTCTTCTTTTTGCTTAGAATTTTCTTGGTTATATGGGCTCTTTTTTGGCTCCATATGAATTTTAAAGTAGTTTTTTCTAATTCTGTGAAGAATGTTAGTGGTATTTTAATGGAAATAGCATTGAATCTTTAAATTACTTTAGGCAGTATGGCCATTTTCACAATATTGATGCTTCCTGCCCATGGGCATGGAATGTTTTTTCCATTTGCTTATGTCCTCTCTGATTTCCTTGAGCAGTGGTTTGTAGTTCTCCTTGAAGAGCTCCTTGACATCCATTGTTAGCTGTATTCCTAGTTATTTTATTCTCTTTGTAGCAATTGTGAATGGGAGTTCATTCATGATTTGGCTCTCTGCTTGTCTGTTGTTGGTATATAGGAATGGTTGTGATTTTGCACATTGATTTTGTATGCTGAGACTTTGCTGAAGTTGCTTATCAGCTTAAGAAGCTTTTAGGCTGAAGCGATAGGATTTTCTATATGTACGATTATGTTATCTACAAACAGAGACAGTTTGACTTCCTCTCTTCCTATTTCAATACGCTTTATTTCTTTCTCTTGCCTGACTTCCCTGGCCAGAACTCCCAATACTATGTTGAATAGGAGTGGTGAGAGAGGGCATCCTTGTCTTGTGCTGGTTTTCAAGGGAAATGCTTCCAGCTTTTGCTCATTCAGTATGATATTGGCTGTGGGTTTGTTCTAAATGGCTCTTATTATTTTGAGTTATGTTCCATCAATACCCAGTTTATTGAGAGTTTTTAACATGAAGAGATGTTGAATTTTATAAAAGGCCTTTTCTACATCTATTAAGATAATCCTGTGGTTTTTTGTCTTTAGTTTTGTTTACATGATGAATTACATTTATTGATTTGAATATGTTGTTACCAGCCTTGCATCCCGGGGATGAAGCCAGCTTGATCGTGGTAGATAAACTTTTTGATGTGCTGTTGGACTTGGTTTGCCAGTATTTTATTGAGGGTTTTTGCATTGATGTTCATCAGGATATTGGCCTGAAGTTTCTTTTTTAGTTGTATCTCTGCCAGGTTTTGGTATCAGGATGATGCTGGCCTCATAAAATGATTGATGCACTAGTCCTTCCTTTTAATTTGTTTGAAGTAGTTTCAGAATAAATGGTACCAGCTCCGCTTTGTACCTCTGGTAGAATTCAGCTATAAATCAGTCTGGTCCTGGGCTTTTTTTGGTTGGTAGGCTATTTACTACTGCCTCAGTTTCAGAACTCATTATTTGTCTATTCAGGGGTTTAACTTCTTCCTGGTTCAGTCTTGGGAGGCTGTATGTGTTCAGGAATTTATCCATTTCCTCTGGATTTTCTAATTTATTTGCATAGTATGCAAATAAATTAGTGCAAATAAACTAATTTATTTGTTTATAGTATTCTCTGATAGTTGTTTGCATTTCTGTGGGGTCAGTGGTGATATCCCCTTTATCATTTTTTATTGTATCAATTTGATTCTTCCGTCTTTATTAGTCTAGGTAGCGGTCTATTTCATTATTCTTTCAAAAAACCAGCTCCTGGATTTGTTGACTTTTTTGAAGGGTTTTTCATGTCTCTATCGCCTTCAGTTCTGCTCTGATCTTGGTTATTTCTTGTTTTCTGCTATCTTTGGGGTTTGTTTGCTCTTGGTTCTCTAGTCGTGATATTATGGTGCCGATTTGAGATCTTTCTAGCTTTTCGATGTGGGCATTTAGTTCTATAAATTTCCCTCTTAACACTGCTTTTTCTGTGTCCCAGAGATTCTAGTGTATTGTTTATTTGTTCTCATTGGTTTCACAGAACTTCTTGATTTCTGCCTTAATTTCATTACCCAGGAGTCATTCAGGAGCATGTCGTTGCATTTCCAGTTAGTTGTATGGGTTTGACTGTGTTTCTTAATCTTGAGTTCTAATTTGATTGCTCTATGGTCTGAGAGACTGTTATGATTTTAGTTCTTTTGTATTTGCTGAGGAACGTTTTACTTCCAATTAAATGATTGATTTTAGAGTAAGTCCCATGTGGTGCTGAAAATAATGTATATTCTGCTGTTTTTGGATAGAGAGTTCTGTAGATACCCAGACCAACTTAAGCCAGAGCTGAGTTTGAGTCCTGAAGATTCTTATCAACTTTCTGTGTCAATGATCTAATATTGACAGTGAAATATTAAAGTTTCCTATTATTATTGTGGGAGTCTAAATCTTTTTGTAGGTTTCTAAGAACTTGTTTTATAAATTTCGTTGCTCTTGAAGTGAGGCATAGAAATTTAGGATAGTTAGCTCTTCTTGTTGAATTGAACTTTTTACCATTATGTAATGCCCTTCTTTGTCTTTTTTGATCTTTGTTGGTTTAAAGTCTGTCTTGTCAGAAACTAGGATTGCAACCCCTGCTTTTTTCTGCTTTTTATTTGCTGGTAGATTTTCCCTCATCCTTTTATTTTGAGCCTATGTGTGTCCCTGCATGTGAGAAGGGTCGCTTGAATATAGCACACCAATGGGTCTTGACTCTTTACCAGCTTGCCATTCTGTGTCTTTTAATTGGGGCATTTAGCTCATTTACATTTAAGGTTAATATTGTTATGTGTGAATTTGATCCAGTCATCATGATGCCAACTGGTTATTTTGCAGACTTGTTGATGTAGTTGCCTTATAGAGTCATTGGTCTTTGTACTTCAGTGTGGTTTTGTAGTAGCTGGTAACAGTTTTTTGTTTGTTTGTTTGCTTGTTTGTTTTCATATTTAGTGCTTCCTTTGGGAGCTCTTGCAAGATGGGCCTGGTGGTGACAAATTCTCTCAGCATTTGCTTGTCTGAAAAGGATTTTATTTCTCCTTCACTTATGAAGCTTCATTTGGCCATATATGAAATTCTGGGTTGAGTATTCTTTGCTTTAAAATTGTTAAATATTGGCCCCTGATCTTTTTTGGCTTGTAGGGTTTCTGCTGAGAGGTCTGCTGTTAGTCTGATGGACTTGCCTTTGTAGGTTACCTGGCCTTTCTCTCTGGCTGCCCTTAATATTTTGTCTTTCATTTCGACCTTACAGAATCTGATATTATGTGCCTTGGGGGTTGATCTTCTTATGGAATATCTTACTGGGGTTCTCTGGATTTCCTGAATTTGAATGTGGGCCTCTCTTGCTAGGTTAGGGAAGTTCTTGTGGATGATATCTTGAAGTACGTTTTCCAACTTGGCCCTGTTCTCCCTGTCTCTTTCAGGTACTTCAACCAGTCAGAAGTTTGGTCTTTTTACATAACCCCATAGGTCCTGGAGGTTTTATTCATTCCTTTTCATTCCTTTTTCTTTTTTTTCCTAATCTTATCTGCCTGTCTTGTTTCATCAAGATAGTCTTCAAGCTCTGAAATTCTTTCCTCCGCTTGGTCTATTCGGCTATCAATAATTGTGGGTGCATTGTGAAGTTCTCATGTTGTGTTTTTCAGCTCCATCAGGTCATTTATGTTCCTCTCTAAACTGGTTATTCTGGTTAACAGCTCCTGTAATGTTTTATCATGGTTATTAGCTTCTTTGCATTGGGTTAGAACATGCTCCTTTAGCTCAGTGAAGTTCATTATTACCCACCTTCTGAAGCCTACTTCTGTCAATTCATTCATTTCAGCCCTGCCCAGTTCTGTGCCCTTGCCAGAGAGGTGTTGCAATAATTTGGAGGAGGAGAAGCACTCTGCTTTTTGAGTGTTCAGTGTTTTTTCATTGATTCTTTCTCATCTTTATGAGTTTATCTAGCTTTGGTCTTCGAGGCTGCTGACCTTTGGATGGGGTTTTTGAGGGGACTTTTTTGTTAATGTTGTTGCTGCTTTCTATTTGTTATTCTTTTAACGGTCAGGCCCCTCTTCTGGTTTGTTGGGGGTCCACTCCAGACCCTATTTGCCTGGGTCCCTCCCACACCTGAAGGTGTCACCAGTGGAGGCTGCAGAACAGCAAGGATGACTGCCTGCTACTTTCTCTGGGAGCTCCATCCCAGAGGGGCACCAACCTTATTCCAGCAGGAATGGTCCTAAATAAGGTGTCTGGTGACCCTTGTTGGGGGGTTTCACCCAGTCAAGAGGCATGGGATCAGGAATCCACTTAACGAAGCACTCTGGCTGGGCTTTGGCAGAGGGGGTGCACTGTGGTGGGAGGAATCCCACTCATCTGCACTTCCCAGGTTCTGCAGAGCCATCGGGGGAAAGACTAAGTCCACTGATCCATGGAGAGAGACCATGGCTGCCCCTCCTGCAAGGGGCTCTATCCCAGGGAGATCAGAGTTCTGTCTGTAAATCCCTAGCTGGAGTTTCTGAAATTCCTGCAGAGAGGCCCCCATCCAGTGAGGAGGAATGGGTCAGGGTCCAGCTTAAAGAGGCAGTATGGCCATGATCCACCACAGCCGCTGTGCTACACTGTGGAGAATTCCTCCTGAGTCCAAACCGCTCAGTCTCCCTCGCACCAGCAGGGAAAAAGTGGCAGAATGGAGCTGCATTTATGGCTGCCACCCCTCCCCCCAGGACTCAGTCATCTTAGGCAACAGGCAGCTGCAATGATGGCAGCTGCCCCTCCCCTCAGGAACTTGGTAATCTTAGTCTCTAGCTGAGCGACCGCCAAGAATCTGCACAGCTCTGTTCTTGGGACCCAAGGCCCTGGTCACATAGGCTCACAAAGGGGATCTTCTGATTTGCAGGTTGCACAGATTCGTGGAAAAAGCATGGTTTTCCTGGTGGTAGGTAGCACACTCACCACCTTGCTTGGCTGGGAGTGGGAGTTCCCCTTGTTACTTGCAGCTCCCAGGTGGGCCGTTGCTCCACTCTGCTTTTGCTGGCTCTCTGTGGGTTGTGCCAACTGCCTATTCAGTCCCAATGAGAGAATTTGGATACCTCAGTTGCCGGTGCGGGATTCACTTGCAGTTTTCGTTCTTCTCTCGCCGTTTTCATTCTTCTCGGTGGGAGCCTTCGACCGCAGCTATTTCCAGTCAATCATCTTGGTCCCTCCCGGCAACAATACTTTTTTTATAAAGAGTTATTCGGTGAAGATTGAATAAATGGATGAATGGATGGAAAGCTAAGGATATCTTCGATTATTTAATGATAGTTAATATTGATATAGGAATAAGATTATTTTTCCAAGGCTTACATGCAGTAGAAAAAATCCTTCATCTATCAGGTAGTGGTGGTAGAAATAAGTTACAAATGAAAGTGTAATTATAAAATACAATAAATTAAGTTGTATAAAGGTATTGACTAATCATATATTAGAGCTAGCAAATATACAGCAGAAGTGTTAGTATATCTTTTCCTTTATCTATGGCAATCATTCTAAGTAATCCTGTTACTCTTTTTGGGGGGGTTCAGTTAAAACCTGAAAATCTTTATCTAGTTGTTGTAACCACTACTCATCAGTTGGACATTGAATATAAGGTGAAACCTGTCTGATATAAAGGCTCTAGTTTCTATTTAATAAGGATGAGGAAAAAAGTAGTTACTAGTTCAAGGAATAGTTCTAGTTCTGTCTCATTACTGAAACCTGGTAGTTCTTACACTTTTCTTCTTAACCCTGGAAGTGACTATGTAATATTGAGGTTTGCTTTTTTTCTACTTGAACCCCTATATTTATGTCTTCTTTAATGGGATTAGTGTTTTTTCCACTGTCCCTGTAATTCAGAAAGGATGATCTTAGTCCTCTTTAAAGTAAGTTTCCTCTTTCTACCTAAGATTGAATTGAAAATTGATTCTTCATTGCCTTGAAACATGACCATCAAGTTATTTCCTGTGCAACATTATTAAATATCTCTTGGCAACAGCAATTCTAGATTTTAGGTTTTAATCAAAATTTTCCAACATCATATAGGCTACACAATTACTATTGTCAATAGTAATTGCTTATGTAATAGCAGAGCTTTTAATTTTTTGAATGTAGTGTGCAGGGTACTTTGAATAATATATGAAGTTTGGTTCAAAGAAACAGACTGTTGAAAACTTCAGTGAACCAGACTGAGAATATAAATTGGACACACTGGATGTTCACTTTTATTCTTTTTTCTTTTTCTTTTTTTTTTTTTTTTTTGTGACACAGAGTCTTGCTCTGTCACCAGGCTGGAGTGCAGTGGCACAGTCTCGGCTCATGGTAACCCTATCTCCTGGGTTCAAGTGATTCTCCTGCCTCAGCCTCCCAAGTAGGTGGGACTATGGGCACCCACCACCACGCCCGGCTAATTTTTTGTATTTTTAGTAGAGTCGGGGTTTCACCATGTTGGCCAGGATGGTCTTGATCTCTTGACCTCATGATCCACCTGCCTCGGCCTCTCAAAGTGCTTGGATTACAGGCATGAGCCACCGCGCCTGGCCTTTTTATTCTTATATAAAGAAGTACAAGACAATATCATATTGGAAATATGTCATTCACATTTTTTTTGAAAAATTTATTGGTCTGTCTGACAAGAGATAACTATGAACTTATCCTCCTTCTCTTTTGTGGAGTAACTAAAAAGCATGATTAGGCCAAACTAGAAGGAGTGATAATGTTGTGAATAGAGGACTCTGGTAAATTCCCATATTTAATATGTAGGAGTCATGATTGCTCTGGCTATGGAACAGGTCCTAGAGCTAGTCAGAGAGCCCATTGTGAAGATGAAAACAGAACAATAAAATGAAGGGAAAAATACAGTGAAGCTCTGACTTTATAAGTTTTCTTTTTACTGCTTATATGTCAAACATCTGAATAAAAACTAAATAATTTATCATCTCATGTAGACATAGCTACCACTTCTCTGTGAACTCTGAAATTTATGTTTTGAAGCAAATATGACCTTTATGTATTTGAAGTAAATATTAAGTTTACGAAATATAATATGAAATTCATGTATTTGAAGCAAATATGATCTTAAAAATAGAAAAAAATGTAGCTTAGTGAAAGATGTTAATTTTGTAACCAAACAGGAAAGGATTAGAATCCCGGTTTTGCTGCTTATTAGCGGTCTTAGGCAAGTAAACAAAAAAATTCAGCCACAGTTTCATTTTTGTAAAACAGAAATACATATCTGTCTTGCTGTTTTCAGAATTAGAAATAATGTAAATTAATGCCCATATAGGCACTTATTAATAGTGCTTATTAACATTATTGTTTTTAACGCTATAATATTATTTATCCTATACTCTCAATGAATAACTACATGCTATACTTGAGTATATAGTACATTTTATTATTTATATAGCTATCACTACATAATACATGTAAGGAAAATATAATGCTGACCAAATGTAAAATTTAGATATTTTAATTATAATTTTCTTTCTTTCAGAATTACTTACTGTCATCTACCTTTCCAGAGTAAATGGCTTTATGTTGGAACAGAAAGAGGAAATACACATATTGTAAATATTGAATCTTTCATTCTTTCTGGATATGTTATCATGTGGAACAAGGCAATTGAACTGTAAGTTTGAACTTGGATATCACTTTATTGGCTTAAATACTTCATACAGTTATGTAACATGTAGGTCAAATTACAGTTATTTGATACGTCTATTACTAATTTATAATGAATTTGAGTGAAAAGTTCAGTAAAATAACTTAAAGCCATAAAAGCTTTTAAAAATAGATATTACAATATTTTAGGCTTTCCAAATACCATAAATAATTAAGCTTTATATCTAAAAATGTGATGACAAAATAGTAAGGCTTATTCTAAAAGTTATACATGGAAATCTCACTTCATTATAATCAAGCTTAGTATAGCAACTTTCAGTGAGAATGAATTGTGTTATGTAAAAATAATCATGATCACTGCATATGATTTTAATGCTTGTAGCTTGTTCTTTTCTTGCCTCATTAAAATATTGTTCAGGGCTCAAATATCTTTTAGGTTACGTTATACATAGGTTTTTTGGGTGTATGATTGATGGCAATTACCACTTTGGCTTTGGCACTGATATTTAAGTTTCTGTACATGTGAAATGTGAAATTCTCCAAATATCAAACTCTGTGGAATTTCAAGCCATCTGTATTCAGCCATTTTGCATTGCTATAAAGGAATCCCTGAGACAAGGTAATTTATATAGAAAAGAGGTTTAATTGGCTTATGGTTCTACAGGCTTTACAGGAAGCATGGTGCTGGCATCTGCTTAGCTTCCAGGGAGGCCTCAGGAAGCTTACAATCATGGTAGAAGTTAGGAGCAGGCATGTCATATAATGAAAGCAGGAGCAAGAGGAGGAGTTAGGGGGAGGTGCCACACACTTTCAAACAACAAGATCTCACGAGAATTCATTCACTACTGCAAGAACTCACTTACTATGGCAAGAACTCACTATTACAAGAAGAGCCCTAAGGGGATGGTGCTAAACCATTCAAGAGAAATCCACTTCCCATGATCCAAATACCTCCCACTAGGCCCCACCTTGAACATTTAGGGATTACAATTCAACATGAGCTTTGGGCAGGGACAAATATCCAAACTATATCACCATCTATTTGTAGTACATACGTAAGCAATTCTTCTAGTAAAATTATTAATCAGAAAAACAACTTTTATTTAACACGTTTATGCTCTCTACATATTAGGTCCTTGATAAGATGTTTGACTTGAAGTTGACTCATTTTCTGCCTCATATATAGTCTAAGTTACAAAATTATTCTGCAAAATTCTGATTAAAACACCCTATTTTTGTGAAGCTTGACGCTGGAAATAAATATTTTACCTAATCTTAATGTTTCAATATGCATGTATATTGCTTCATAAGGAAGGTTGTTACTAGTTATACTCTTGTCATGATACTCCTTTTGTATTATGTCTGAATGGGTCTTTTATTAATGATAATTCTTTCTCCCTCATTAGATTAGGAACTGCTCCAGAGCAGGATTTTTGTTTATTGTTCTTTTCTTGTTCTTCATACTTGGCTTATTTCTGTGCTTTCCAAAGTAAATACTAAATGATTGATGACATTATTGAAGCATTAGTATGATAAATTGTTACATATACACTGCTATTGACTTACAACTTTCATTTATGTTTTCAAGATAATTGGTGTGAGCTATTTTGCTCATTTTGTTGTTCTGTGTGAATATTTCTAAAAACATTAATCCTATAAATAATTATGTTTCCCCCCAAAGTTACTTTATTAGGTATTTGGGAGGGTCCTTTTCCCCTGTAATCCTAGTCCTATAAAAGCAATAAAAGGGCTGAATTTTAATAGTTTTACATAATATTGTTTCAGGATATTGATAAAAACATACAGGCTTAGATGAACAAGAGAAGATTCAGTTATAAAACTTTTAAATAAATTCAATATTAGTGAAAATATATAGATGCATCACTTGTGTTCAGGTTGAATGCTGCTAAAGTAATTGAGAAGAATTTGTTATCTTAAGCAAATTAAACATTTCACCACTCTTGCAATGCTGTTCTTATATTCATTTATGTAACAAATCCTTTTCATGGTTCAGATTACTACGTGAACTAGTGACTTATACTTTATTTTAATGTGTTTATATAGTCTATACAATTTCAAGACTAATGAAGAGTTTTTAAAATGTATATTATAAGGGAGGCTAAAATCAGGAGAAATTAAAGAGCTAAAATAAGGCATTTTTATTTTTCATAATATACACATGATTCAGCATTAGAATAGCATCTACTATTTTATATATAAACCTGTGTTTTATCGAGTTGTACATGCCTCTGAAAATGTTCTTGAAATATCTCTGAGAAATTATTAGTAAACCACATACCATCACTTCCTGAATGTCTCTTGATTCATTTAGACCGGATTTCCAAAAATATGTTCCATAGAATTCTAATTCCACTGTGACAGATAACATTTTAAATGCCAATTTCCAATCTCCTGGAACTGTCTTTTCATTGCTCTCTACCTCTTGAGATACATTAGAAAATGTATGTAACTTCCTGTTAATATGTGTCAAGTGTATGGGACAGTAATAAAATATGCATTTAATTAAGAAGACTCATTTAATAAATATAATTTTAGTCCATGAATTTTAATAATATATTTTCTAAGTAGGACAAATGCAAGAATTATCTAAAAAAATATGAGATTGTTTCTATTTTAAGTCCTTATTGAAATACTTTTCATTTAATGTTTATTTTTCAGCTTGTTTCTATTTTTAGTGAATTATTCTAATTGCAATTAGAGGCAATTCCCAAGAGTATGAATAGTTGGGTTTCCAAAATGTATATATTGGTTATTTGGAACCTGGGACAAATTTTTCATTTAAACAGTGATATTTGAAGAATACCTTATAAAATAACAGCATAGAACTAAACTATCATTAAAAAATATTTATATGGGAAAATATATACCAGGTGATAGCATAGAAACAGCTATTTCTGTAGGGCAGCCCTAACATTTTAAAAAAATGTAAGCTTTTTTTCCACATATGATTAAAATTTGAGCATGAAATTTATAATCAAATCATAAAAGTGTAAGACTCATGTTTAACATCATTCAAGCATGTTTACTGAGCTCTATTATATGATAGATACTAGAAACAACTATGAACAGAGAAGACATAATCTCTGTCCTCCTGGGACTTCCAGTTTAATGGAGGCAAAGTTAAATAAAAAGGCAATTACAA
This sequence comes from Homo sapiens, assembly GCF_000001405.40. NCBI lineage: Eukaryota > Metazoa > Chordata > Mammalia > Primates > Hominidae > Homo > Homo sapiens. The sequence continues at coordinate 121,118,216 of NC_000003.12, forward strand.
TATACTGGTAATATAATATGGCAATTCCATAAGAAGGACATCTATTATAATATAGACATGGGATCTCAAAGTGGTATCTGTGAAGATTGTTACATCTATGCTGAGATCCAAGGGGTGAGTTTCAGTTAGATGAGTAAAATACCAGGGACAAGAACATTCCGGGCAGAGGGAACAGAATATTTAAAGGATGGAATATAAGATAATTTTCTGCTCTGTGCCCAGAAATTTTAAGTACTGCAGTTTATAGTTTGTTGGAATGGCTGGTGGATAGGATAGCAAGGGATAAAGCTGGAAGGTAATCAGGTTTTATAACATGAAAGGTCTTGTAAGCCAATTTGATAAGTTCAGACTTTAAAGACTAATAGGGAGCTAGATTTTGACGGTTGCAAGCAGATCTCAATCAAATCTATATTTTAGGAGTACTACCCTGAATGCAGGTATGGAGAAATAATTGGAGAGAAAGAAAGACTGTGTTCTTGGTAAAAATTATGTTGGTGTTGTAGGAGTGGAGATAAACCAACATATTAAAGAAATATTTAAAAGAAGGAATAATAATAGGGAAAAATTAAAGATGACTTCCCAGTGTTTGCCTTGAGCAATGGTGTACAATGGTGCCATTTAGTGAAAGTGCAAGAGGTTGAGTAGGTTGAGAGTAAAATAATAAGTTCAATTTTAGCTCCATTGAATTGTATGTGTTTATAAGACTTTCAAGTGGAGTTGGTATAGAAGAATAGCAAGAGGTGGGATATATATGGATCTGAAGGTAATGAGAGAGATCAGAATTTACTGGGTTGTTAAAACCAGATGAACAGATGAAATTGTGCATAAAGAGTATGTAGAGAAAAGTTAGCAAACTAATAGCCATTGAACTAATTATGACTCATAGATATATTTTGTTTGGCCATCAGAGCATTTAAATATGCTCTGAATTATGACTTTCTATTATTTAAAAATTGGTAGAATGAAGATAAAAATTTGGACTTTTTGGTGAAACAGTCCTAGTCTAACATTCCTGTATGGCAATAATCAACTGCAAATGAGTAGTAACTTTCCTTATGTAGGTGGGTAATGTGCTATCCAGGTTGGTACAGTTCTTATTCAGCCTATTTAACTCATTTGCAATACCTGCCTGATTCCTGTAGGGTTTTGAATTTGTGGTCATATATTATATGGGAATACATGGCAGTCTAGGACAGGATACCATAGAATATCAATATTTAAGATATGGGAAGATAATGAAAAGCCCATAATGGAAACTAATATTAAGAAGGCTACTTTAGTGAATGGGAGAAAGAGAACTAAATAGGGATACCGAGAAGAATTACTGCACATTTTTTTAGGTGGCTAGTACATGAAAATAATTCATTGATAATTCTATCTAAAGAATTTTTTTTGTAATTTTCAGAATCCAAAGTCCACAGATGCTTTTTTATTTTTAGGTCAATTTCTCATGACCATAAGTTTTTCCAGGAGTGCTTTGTGGTTTTGGAAGTTTAATGTTAGGGAACAAGCCAGAAGAAATACCCCAAAATGTTAATAGGCATTATCTCTATGCAGTGAAATAATGTGAACCCTTTTTCCTCTTCACTTTTGATGTGTTCTATGTTTGTTTAAGATAGTAAATAATGTTTCTTCTAGAGTCTGAAAAAGCAACTACAAATAACGGAAGTTTAATGTTAGATTATTTTCAGAAGTAGAATATTCTATAGTTTAAGGATCTAAACACAAGAGTCTTGCATGTGATCCGAGTAGTGTTTCCCAAAACAAATTTCTGTGATTTCATTAATATGATCAATGAAAAAGGATTCAATGGACTAATAATTTTGTAAAGTACTGAAGATTTACAATGCTTATTTGCATAGTACAGGCTCTAAGAAATTCTGTAGGGGAAATAATATTTAACTTTAATTCAGGGTTTCCCAAAGTTTTAAAATATAGAACAACTAACTTATCGTAAAGTACACTTTGGTAAGTGTTAGTGCAATCAAACCAAGAGACGGAGAGGCTATGGTTTGTTGGCAATTATGAATTCCTGGAGGATAATTTAAAGACATTAAACCTTATCAGAGGCATTTATACCTTTATAGAACACTGAATTTATGTATAAATGATATGTTACATATAAATGTGGAAAAAATTAAAGAAATATCTGTAAACTTTTTATGAAGCCCTGTTTAATTTCTTTTCTTCCTGCATATATTCTAGAATGCAAATAGTAACTCTAATTTCCAATTATCACATCAATCATAATACATACTATTTATTGAATGCACACTATGTTTTGCCATAGTATTAGATGCTGTATGTATCTTCTAATCTGCACAATTATTCAGTAAGGTCAGTCCTAATATTTCCATTTTTAGATGAAAATATTTAAGATGAATCCACTAACAAAATTCATCAATATCCAATGAATCTGTGTTTATTCCCCTTGGTAACTCTGAGGAGTCAGCACCAGGAGATCCTAGAATTAATTTGTCACTTTTCTCTGATTCCAAATAGTTTCTAAGATTTAAATCTTCTTCATTGTTTTGTATAGAATCTTTGATAGTTTTCATGTGTGCTTAAGAAAGAAACTGAAACTGTGTTAATATAATCATAAGAATAATTTGACACTGTTAGGTCGTGGAGAAAGGCTGTGGAAAGTGGAGCAATAATAAAACCCTTGTTATATCAGATCAGATCATATTTAATCATGACATAATCATTTTCAAAGTGATGTAAGTTAAACTAGGAATTATAATAGAAACATGCCAGATATGAGAGTAGAATAAATTTAAAGTCAGATTGATAGAGAGAGCCCAGGTCTTTTAACAATATTCTGTTAGACTCATAATTATCTGTTATTTATTATACTAAATAACCTGATAAGTGTGGTATAACCAATGAACTAGGTTTCACTCCAATTTGTTGTTTTTCTGTAAAAGCGTTATCACTAGAGTAGATTTATTTTTAAATCAAAAGTGCCACTGTACTTTTCTTTAGGGGAAAATAATCAGAGGAGATTTCGTGTAAAAGGAAATCTTAAATCAGGTATGTACTTTGCAATTTAACTGAGACAGTTTTACACCATTACCTTTGTAGCTGTAGTGTTCTTTTATCTATGTAAATAAAAATTCAATTAAAAAAATTCAGAGGCGCTTATCTGACAACAAACGTTTCAAATAATAAAGAACCCCATTGTTATTAGGATCTTTGTGTTTTAACCCGATTTTTAAAGAAAAACATAAATAAGTAGTTTGCAATTAGTAAACAGAAATGCAGTTAGGACTGGTAAAGTAAATAAAAAACTTAAGTGAATCTGAGCTTAACCCTAGAATGGTGGGATTTTATTCCAGTGTAATCTTAATTTCTTTGTTTCAGTCTCTAGTGGTAAGGTATTTTAATGTTTGGTTTTTAATTACTGTTTTGAATTGATTTAACAGATCCACTAAGACTCATCCAGGTCCAGTTGTACATTTAAGCGATAGCCCAAGAGATGAAGGCAAAGTGAGTATTATGATATCTTTATTATTAGTTTTATTTTCCTCATTCTTGAAAAAAGGTGTTTCTTACTATTATTTTATATCTAGTATCTAGCCCAGTTGATAGCATTTTATATTATGTAAAATGAAAATGTGTTGAATCAACGAATGAGTAAATGAATGAATGAATGAATCATGCTACTGATGGTCCCAAATTAAGTCTTTAGCTTTACTGAGAGATAAAATCGGTATTTAATTCTGGCATTTTGAGAACGATAACATGTAGAACAACTTTAATTTTCAAATACTCTATGCTTGAATTTAATAATATGATTATAATTTGCCTTTGTTACTCAGTTTGGTAATGAAAAATGACCAATATTAAATAACATAAATTAGCCAATCTTGATTTCATTAACATGTACTAATATATAAAATGTTATCAGACTACAGAAATAATTCTTATTCACTTTGATTATTTCATAATTTGCCTTTGATGGTGAGGAAACAGTTGAAAACATGAAAATTAGATATTTTTAATATTAATTAATTAATATTAATAAATTATTTAGTATATAGGTTTGGTTCTTTATTTTTAAAGGATAGAAACTGAATTAGCCTATCAAAAATCAAACCTGAAAGGCAAGTCCACCCACCCAAGGAATAAAATTGGATCCCTTCAAATTGATCCACAAGTACAATGTAATTCCAATCAGGTGCCGTCAGAGTTTATTTTTTAAGAATTCAAAAGGTGATTTTAAAATTTATTAAGAAAAGAAAATGTATACGAATAGCCATGACATTTTTGAAAAAGAAATACAGTGTTATATTGGTACAGGGGTACACAAGAGGACCAATGTATCTAAATAGATAAATCCCCAAATAGTTCAGGTATTTGGGAAAATGTTATATATTTTAAAGAAGATGTCTGAGGACATAATTAGCTATTGAATAAATGGTACTGGATAATTGGTTCTTCACTTTGAAAAGAATAGTAAGACCTCTGCCTCATAGATACATAAAGAACCAATGTTTAATAAACATTAAAATTACAACTCAGAAAGTATTCAAAGATGCTTGTAGGATAGGGTTGTTAGTTACTGTGGAGTAGGGACACTCTTGGGCAAAATCTAAAAACTTTAGGGCATATGCTATAACAAGAATCTCATAATAAGAGATAGGCAACAAAGTGGGAGGTAATATTTCCTACATGTCAAAAATAATGAACATGTAAAATATATAAAGAACTTGTACTAAATCCTCATCTTGTAGTAAGAAATCAATATATAATATCTAATGACTAAATCAGAAAATAGCAATATAAACATATTTAGACATATGAAAATAAGCCTACCAAAAAAGATGATTTTAAGAGTTGATGTTGTTGCCTCTTACTTCTAGAGAGAAGGATTTGGCAGTGAGGAGGAAACAGTCTCACTAGTAATTAGGGAAATACAATATACAATTTGTCAACATCATACCGACAAAATGTTAAACACTAAAAATATTAATTTTAAAATATCAGAGAATGGAAAAAGCACTGGGAAATAGCCATCTAAATATATGTATATATACCAGGATGAGCAATTAAGCATTATCAACATTTAAAACATATATTCGTTTTTGGAATTTGTTATGACCTAGAAAATTCATTTCCGATATCTATACTGTTTATGTGACTAATGGTGCAAACTATTAAAATAGTCTAAATGTCTCTTAATAGAATATTGAATAAATGAATGCTGATGTATTCATACTGTGGAATGCTGTGTTGATATGGAAAGTTCTTTAAGACGCATTTTTTAAAAGAAAAGTTGCAGAACAGTAAGGTATAAAACCACTTGAACATTGCCTTTATATTTGTACTTATATATTCAAATGCCTAAGAAAAAAAAAAGCCTGAAAGAATATAGACAAATCTGGGAGAACACTAAAGATTGGAATTGGGGAAAATGGTCAAAGTTATTCTTATTTTATTTGTGTTGTTCAAATTTTTATGAAAGAATATAATGTGGCAATTGTTTAATTACAAATTAAAAGGACTGCAAAATAAATGAATATTGGCATCAGAAAACTATAGGTTTGAGTTGTGGCTCTAGCATTTATTAGCATATAATCTTGAATAAATCACTTTACTTCTTGTATATCAGTTTTTCCATCAATAGTCTTTTGTCACAGAAGTTTTTTTATTTTAATATATGCAGTTTTATCAGTCTTTTCATGTGATTCTTGCTTTTTGTTTCTTATTCAGTAAATATTTCCCTACCAGAGAGAAAATACAATTCTATTTTTTTCTATTGGTTTTAAGACCTTGCATTTCACAATTAGATTTTAATCTTCATGTAATTTATGATGGTTTGATATAGTAGACTTTTATTTGCACATGTAAATAATTCATTTATTGTATAGTGAATCTATTTTTCACTGATTTATACACCTCACTCATATATCAAGTTCCAATATTTGGATTGGTCTCCTAGGCTTAACCTTTTGCTGAATTATTTATCTACTATTGTACTAATGACATACTTTATTAATTATAATAACTTACAAAATGTCTTGATATCTGGTAAGCTGGTCCCTTTTCTTTTTCTGAATTATCTTGGCTATTTCTGACTCATTATTCTAGTATATGAATTTTGGAATCAGCTTATCAAGCTCAATGTGATTCTCAATTGGGATTTTGTTTGAAATTCGAGTGTATAACTTATAGAAAATTTACATGTTAAGATATGGGTGTTCCATCTATAAATATGTTTACTTTGGCTTTCATTTGTTTTGCTATATAACTATAAATTTTTTTATAAAAGTCTTTTATATCTTGTGCTAGCTCAATTCGATAAGTACCTTATAGAATTTATTGCTCTTGTGACTTGTGACTTAATCTTCTTAAAGAAGTTTCATAACTGATTATCTTTAGATTATCAAATATTATTGATTTTTTAATATTTTGTATTCAGTTGCATCATTGAATGTTTTGTTTTTAATAGCTGTCCTTAGATTCTCTGGAATATTCTATTTATAAAAACTGAAAATATAGACAAATTTTCTTCCTTTCCAATATTTATGGTTATATATATCTTTTTTGTTTTATTGACTAGGACCCCAGTGCAGTGTTGAGTAAAAATGGTTTTAGTGGGAACTTTTTTTTGTTTCCAACTTCAAAGGAAATGCCTCCACGATTTCAGCATTAAGTAAAATGGTTGTTGCAGGTCCTTGATTGCTTTTATGAAGTTAAAAACATTCCACCTATTTCCAATATTCTAAGAGTTTAAAATTATGAATAGTGTCAAATTTTATTGAATGCTTTCTACATGTATCAAGATTATTATTTCTTAATTTGTTAATTTGTTGAATTATGTTAATAGATTTTCTAACTTTAAACATATTTGTATTTCTGGGATAAATTCAACTTGGAAGGGGAAAGCTTCCCTTGGAAGCTAATTGGTGAAGTGCAAGAAGGAACAAACTGCTAAAGTTAAGGTTCCTACAAAATCAAGATAATATGGTTGGGCGCAGTGGCTCACACCTGTAATTCCAGCACTTTGGGAGGACGAGGTGGGTGGATCACCTGAGGTCAGGAGTTCAAGACCAGCCTGGCCAACATGGTGGAACCCTGTCTCTACCAAAAACACACAAAAAATTAGCCTTGTGTGGTGGCATGCGCCTGTAGTCCCAGCTACTTGGAAGCTGAAGCAAGAGAATTGCTTGAACCCAGGAGGTGGAGGTTGCAGTGAGCTGACATTATGCCACTGCATTCCAGCCTGGGCAACAGAGCAAGACTCCATCTCAAAAAAAAAATCAAGATAATGTCATAGAATCAGAAAATAGGCCATCTTTCCCCCAATATATCATTTATAAAGAAACTGTGCATTGGTCTATCGAATACAAAAGGGTACTCTTGAGCTGAGAGATGCCTGTATTGATTTGATACAGCATTGAGTGAATCTGCTTGAATTCTCTTAGCTTCTCTTGTCTCCCAAACAAATGCTCTCCCAAACAACGGCTGTTTGCTTCACTTCATGTTTGGCAAAATTAATTGAGCTATTCCCAGGTCTCTGGCTCCTTTCATTAATTCTGGATTCAGAAGATGTGCTACAACATAAGGCATTCAATCTGGCTTCCATAACACACACCAAAGGGGTCAAATGACACAATTCTGAAGAGAGGGGGTGTTAACCTCCCATGGAGAAAACCTTGACCAATGTTAGGCAAGAGACAAGTAATAAATTCTTCCTCTCTTCCTCCTTATTATTTGGCTAATTTGAGTCATAGTTTTCTCACATAAACTTTTGGAGATTTCTTGCAAGACCATGCTACACCTGACCAGTGATGTCTCTTCTGCTTCTCCCCATGAAATAGTAGAGTGATAATGAATCATCTTTCTTTTATTATTACAACCCTGAGATTGCACTCCTCCCTTAAACACTAGGACTAAACCCTGCCTCAAGCTTTTTTTGTACACACTTCTGGTTAAGATAACAGTTACTACAATTATTCTCGATAAGGGACTGAAAAATACAGCCACAAACCAAATCTGGCATGCTGCCTGTTTTCTCAAAATGTTTTATTGAACACAGCCATGCTCATTCATTAACATATGTCTGTGGCTGCTTTCTTGCTGTAAGAGTAAAGCTGAGCAGTTGGGATGCAAAGCCTAAAATGTTCACTATCTGGCCTTTACATAAAAAGTTTGCCAACTCCTGTCCTAGTCTGTAAACCCTCAGTATTGGATTTTTGAAGTTAGGTTGTCTCCTGTCTAAAATAAGCAAACCTGTTGAAGGTACCAGGTGAAATGAATTAAACTCTTCCATGCAGTGACATCACAGTTACTTTAAAAATGTTCTTCTGTGATTAGGGACTAATCTTTCTCTGCTAGAAAGATAAGATAAAGGGAGATAAAGTAGTCATGGTGTTTAATTGATATGGGGTAATGATAATTACATAATGATGATGAAATAAAATAACTTCCTTTGAGGGCACTTGTGTTAGTTTCCCATTGTCAAAATAAATTATCATAAATTCAATAGCTTAAAACAAAACAATTTATTATCTTTCAGTTCTGTAGGCCAGAAGTTCAACACAGGTCTCACTGGGCAAAAATCAAGGTATCTGCAGGGTTGCATTCCTTTTTAGTAATTCTAGAAGATAATCTGATTTCTTGGCTTTTTCAGAGGCTGCAAAATTCCTTGGCTTGCAGCCCCTTTGTCTATCTTCAAATCCAACAGCATAGTATCTCTCTGACTCTTCTTCCGCAATTGTGCCTCTTTCTCACCACAACTGGGAAACGTTCTTCACTTTTATAAAATATTTTATGTTGTTGTTGTTGTTATGTAAAGAACATATTGACAGATTCCAAAGATTAGAGTGTGGGTGTCTTTGGGAGTCCTTTATTCTTCCTACATCATCTCAGAACAATTAATTACTGATTTACCAAATCCCAGAAGTCCTCTAAAGTAGATTTAAAGGAACTCCTACCTCATGTAGCTCTAGGGAAGACTGTGCTAAAAATAGGCCCAGGAGCTGCTTATAAGGAGACCAAATACATAACTTTGATAGGTCTCATTTGTTAAAGTCAGAGCCCTGATAAGGAAAGAGTATGACCTTTGTATATTAGTTTCCTATGGCTGCCATAACATATGACCACAAAGTGGATGACTTAAAACAAAGAAGTTTATTTTTTCCTAGTTCTAACAACCAGAAGTCTAAAACTAAGGTGTCAGTTAGGCCGTGCTCCCTCTGAAGACTCTAGGGGAGACTTCTTCCTTGCCTTTTCCAGCTTAGGTGGCTCCTGATGTTCCTTGACTTGTGGCAGTATAACACCAATCTCTGCCTTCATTTTCCATTTTCACATGATCTTCTCTATGTCTTCTCCTCTTTTTATAACAACAGGAGTCATTGGATTTAGGGTGGGCCTAGGATGGGATTTAGGGCCCACCCTAAATCCAGAATGATTTCTTCTTGAAATCCTTAACTAATTACATCTGCAAAGATTCTATTTCTGAATAAAGTCACATTCTGAGGTTCTGGGTGCACATGAATTTTTGAGAGCACTATTCAACCATTAACCTGGGATGGAAAAATTTATATAGATAAGCCTGAGAATATTGTAAACCCCAGCAACCCCCAATTTCCTCAAACACTTCTGGTCAGCAGAAGTACCTCTTTCACCATTTCTGGAGGAGAACAGTTTCCCTTTTCTGGGTGACCGTGTAATGACTTCACCTAAAATAATTTCCTCGTATGATGATGTTTTTCCCCACAAGACCACCTCCAGTATCATTACATCCAGGCAAAGAACCAGAATCAGATCTCAGATCTCAGCACAGCCTAACACAGAAGCATAAATCTTCCTCAAGGAATAAATAAACTATATTTGAAAGAAATAGAATACCTACCAAAGGAATTGAGGATATGACTAATACTGCCATTCACCAATGAAATGTGTTTAGAGTGGTTTTTAAGGACTTGAACTTGGGGGCTGCCTAGAGGAGGGTTTATTTTTATGGGGGCAGTTACTTATGATTTTGGATTCGGTGCTTTGGCAGGGACACTTGGATATGGTCCTAGTAGTAATTTGCTGGCATGGCTCCTTGAAGCCTAGACTAAAAAAAAGCCATATAGTAAATAAAGTAGAGATGTCAGAGTCTTTGGGTATGGTATTAAAGAAGGGATCAGGGGATGATAATGTTAAAATGAATGTATTATGTTTGTTCTGGCAACTCACCTTTTGACTGTGTTCCCTAGGAGGCTTCTGAGGAGACTGTCTTCACTTAACCTAATAAGAAATGCCCTAGAAAGGAAAATATTAGCATATTTGAGAAGCTTGGTAGTGGTTGTCCCTTTTAAGGCCCTTGTTGACAGTAGGAGTTGATGCAAGAGAGCCAGGTTCCATAATATTCATGGATTGTAGAGGCCAGGTCACAAAATTTAACCATCTGGCAATATGGGCTTAATTACCATAATAAGCAGCAAGGCTGGAGTGGCAATGCAGGAATCTATGGTAATGGCTAATATACCATGATGTTTATAGGAGCAAAATAAGGTGGGAAGCTGACTGGGATGTTGTTTGCCTTGTATGATCAGAAAAAAATTAAGAGTAGTTTAATTTTTGACAGTCACCATCAAAATGGAAAATCACAATATCTCATCAGGTTTTCAAATATAAGTTAGTTTGCAGATTCAGAATCTATTGATTAAAAAAGGAGCTAGTTGTCACTGAAAAAGAATCCTGAAATGCTCTAATAAGTACATATAGTAATTATAGAAACATCTGTGATTGTTTGCAGGAGTAACTGTTTAGTTTTCAGGACTGTTAGATATAGGGTCAGAGCAGACATTAATACTGGGAAATTTTTAAAAAAGCAATTATGGTCCTCCAGTTAGAGGCGAGACATATGGAATAAATACCCAGTTGATAGACGGAGTTTTGGCCCAAGTCTAATCTCACAGTAGATCTAGTGGGTATGCAGACATACCCAGTTATTTTCTCCAAATGTATAATTTGACAGATATGCTTAGTAGCTGGAATAATACTCATATTGGTTTGCTTACCCTGTAATTAGAGGCACATAGTGGGAAAGGAAAATGGAATCTCCTGAAACTGTCTTCCTCTGCCAATATTGTAATCAGAAGCAATACAGCATCTCTGAAGGAACTGCAGAGATTATTAGCACAATTAGACTTGAATGACATAATGGTAGTGGTCACCAATACATATTGTTGAGTTCCATTGTGTAGGTTTTGCAAAAAAAAAAAAAATAGATTGAGGTTGGTAATAGTACATCGCTATAAAAATAACCAGGTGACAGTCCCAATCACAGCTGCCTAGCTTTTATGTGTATAGATCAACACAACCTATGGTACCTAAGATACAGTTACATATTTAGTGAAATCTTTTTTTCACATGGATGTGGGATGGACCCCATATTCATCAACAGAGGGGAATGAAAGAAAGGACTGCAGTGTAAATTCAAAATCTTTCTCCAGGACTATGTTATTTTTCATGCTCTCAGTCATAATATAATTCTCAGTAATCTTGATTGTCTGGACATTCTTTGGAAAGTATACCAATTCACTTTTTTGCCTATGTAATGCTAACTGGATCTAGTGAGCAGACCTGGCGAGTACCTTTATAACTCATAAGATTCATGTTTCAGAGGATGGGAAGAAAATACCACAAAGATCCAGGGGCCTGTACCAGATATGAAGATTTTGAGGGTCTTAGGGTCTGGGGCATACAGAGCATCTCCTCTAAATTAAAGCATAAGCAATTTTACTTCCCCTAAGAAAGTGTCACATCACTTGATGGGGCTTTTGGATTTGAATCATAGTTTATAATGTCCTTGAAATTACTGAACCAACTAATTTTTATATCACCCAAAAGTCTGCCAGTTTTGAGTGAAAGCCTAGAGAAAAAGCTGGTAGTGTTTGTCTCCTAAGTCAAAGATGCTTTGCAAGCTACTGTACTACTTGGGATGTATGATTTTATAGATCTGATAAAACTTAATGCACCTGGTAGATAAAATGTTCTATTGGAAAGCCCTCTAGAGGAGTCATAGCAGTTACTATCCATTTTCAAAGCAACTCCTGACATGCTCCTGGGCCCTTGTAGAGACTGAACCATGGAATGCCAAATGACTATGTTACCTGTGCTGTCCATCATGAGTTACATATTATATTCACTGAGTCATAAAATTGGGTGGGAGACATGGTATATTTAGGATGTTAGCCTTGACTTTTCAAAAGCTATTAGTGAATTAGATGTACACCGAGCCCAGAATTCCATCTGTTGCAAAAATGCCTCCCTCTTGACCTACATATATAATCTTATGGGATTGGAAGGAAATACCTAAAACCAATTGACAGAGGAGGAAAGAAGTTATGCCTGCTTCATAGACAAGTCAGAGGATTGGTTGCCATTAGCTGGTTACAGACTGTTGCTCAATTACATCTCTACTAAGGGCTAACCCTGAATGACCCTGGTAAAGAAAATCATCACAATTGGTAGAGCCAATAGCAGTATACTGTATTATGCATTTCATATGAATAATGACACGATAATTTAAAATTCAGAAAAATTTTCTTCCACTTGAAAATGTTAAAACTCTTCATTAAACAACTATTAGATCAAGTAGAAAATACAAATCAAAATAGGTGAACATATAAACATCAAAATAGTGATATATATATCAGAATTTATGGAATATAATGAAAATAATTATCAAAAACAATTTGTAGTCTTTAAATCATATATCAATAGAATTATAAATTAAAATACATAAATCTAATATGAAACACAGAAAGCTAGAAAAACGATTAAGAAAATAAAGCAAAAGGAAACAGACATAAAGAGATAAGAGCAGAACTTCAGTTAGTTCTGATTGTAAGCTATGTTATAAATTAATCAACATGCTAGTTCTTTGAATAGAACATAAACAAAATATGCAAACCAACATCCAACCTAATCAAGAAAAACAGGGAGAAAACAAACTTACACAGAATAATACACGAAACAAGAGGAAATCATACTAAAACTAAGGACATTTTTAAACTTTTGAGTTAAATCATTTTACACAGCTCTAAGCAGGTAGATATAAAAGCCTACATAAAATGGGTAATCCCATAGGGAAATTATTAACAGTGATACCAATGGAGACAGAAAGTTTAAGAAAATGAGAAAGTTATTAAATTACTACTCCCACCCAAAAGTACAAGTCACAGATGACTTTATAATGGAATTTTATGAATTTTTCAAATATTAGATAATACCAATGCTACATAGACTGTTCTTAAAAAAAGATTGCCAAGCTATGGCCAGTGGGACAAATATGGCCTGCCTGTTATTATTTTAAATAAAGTTTTATTGGAGATTGTGTAGTCTGGAAAGCCTAAAATATTTACTGTTTGGCCTATTACAGAAAAACTTTACCAACCCCTGTTCTGAGTATAGTTTCAAAAAAGAAAAAAATTCAAATTGTTTTTATGAAGCAATTATAAGAGTGATAACTAAACCTAATAAAAGTTGCATAAAAAGAAAACTGGTTTTATTGGATGTATTAATACCAATGGAAAAGGAGTGATATCAGCAAAGTGGCAGAATAGGAAGCCTGGGCTTTCATTCTTACAAACACACAGATTCAGCTACAATTCACATATAAATTCCCTTTGTGAGAAATGACAATGTAATTGAAAAGTTTCTGAACCCCAGGAGAACATGAAACCAGATTCATTAACACCAGTAAGGAAATTCAGGATGCCCTCTTACCAGAAACCTTGCTCCTGGTGCAGTGCCATATGGTCAAGGAGAGATTTCCTAGGTTGCAGCTTCACCTAAGGGAGGTAAGAACTTTGTTCATGTGTTTAGCACCTCAATTTTTCCAAAGGGGCTCCCCAGAGAATTGGCTTCTGTCTTGCCAGTCTTGGAGCACTGACAGCTCTGAAACAGCCTAGCTGCCTAGACAAGAATGGAGGCAGCAAATTGCGCTGATAAACACTTCTGACCCTCCCTGCCCTGCTGCTTAGCACAGAGGACAGATGAAAAATCCCAGCTCTCAGCTTACCCCTTAGGTTGAAAAGAGTGGATCTGTGCATCCAGTGCCCCAGCTTCTTTGGGGGTGCCAAAAGAACTAGCACACATCTCACCAGTCCTGAAGCTCTGATGGGTCTGGAACATCTAGCTACCTGGGGAGAACCAAGGTGGTGGCTTGAGCTGGTAGATGCCATAGCTACCCCACTGGGGTCAGCACAGAGTGAGAAGATAAAGACCACAGATGCCTGTATCTCCATGGGAAAGGAAAGAGTAGATAGAAGTCCTCAGAATCTCTGTCTAGGCCAATTGGTGGGGTACTTCTCTATGAGAACATTTCAGGAAGACTGAGAGAGATGCCTGCTTTGCCTAAAGTGCAGAAAGCAACATAGAGAGTCAAGGAAAATGAAGAATCAGACAAAAATATTTAAACAAAGAATAAGATAATGGAAACCAACCCTAATGAAATAGATTTATATGACTTACTTGATAGAGAATTAAAATAACTCTTAAAAAGAGACTCACTGAGGTCAATAATGCAATTCATGAACAAAACTAGAATTTTCAGGAAAGAGAAAATATTTAAAAGTACTAAACAGAAGGCATGGAGCTGAAGAACACAATAATAGAACTGAAAAAAAAATCACTAGAGGGGTCAATAGCAGGCTACATAAAGTAGAAGAAAGGATCAGTGAACCCAAAGACAGGTAACTAGAAATAATTCAGACAGAAAAGCAAAAGGAAAACAGAATGAAGAACAGGGAAGAAGGCTTACGGGACTTATGGGGTACAATTAAAGTGGGCCACTGTGTATTATAGAAGATCCATAATGAGAAGAAGCATATCAAGGACCAGAAGGCTTATTTAAACAAATGATGAGAGCTAGGTATGGTGGCTTATGCCTGTATTCCCTGCAGTTTGAGAGGCTGATGTCAGAGGATTGCTTGAGCCCAAGAGTTTGAGACCAGCCTGGACAACATGACAAGACCCTGATTTTATGAAAAAGAAAAAAGATGTAATGATTGAAAGCCTCTCAAATCTGGGGAATGTAGATATCCAAACCCAGGAAGCCCAAAGAACACCAAATAAAATGAACCCAAAGAAATCTATGTTCAGATATGTTATTATCAGACTGTCAGAAGTCAAGGACAAAGAAAGGATTTTTAAAGCAGCAAGAAAAAGTGGATTGTCACATACAAGGGAATCTTTATAAGATAATCCACAGTTTTTAGCAGAAAAATTGCAGGACAGAAAGGAGTGGTGCAATATATTCACATCCTAAAAGAAAAAAAATACTGTCCATCAAGAATAGTATATTCAACGAAACTGTCCTTCAAAAATGTAAGAGAGATAAAACCTTTCCCAGACAAACAAAAGCTCAGGAAGTTTACCACCACTAGATTTGACTCGCAAGAAATGCTAAAGAGTTCTTTAAGTTGAAGCAAAAGGGAAGCAAGATAGCTGTTGTATTAGTCCATTCTCACACTTCTAGAAAGATACTATCTGAGACTGGGTAATTTATAAGCAAAAGAGATTTAATTGACTCACAGTTCTGCATGGCTGGGGAGGCCTTAAGAAACTTACAATCATGGCGCAAGGCAAAGAGGAAGCAAGGCATGTCTTACATGGTGACAGGTGAGAGAGCAAGCAAAGGGGAAATGCCCCACTTTAAAACCATCAGATCTCATGAGAACTCCCTCATTATCAAGAGAACAGCAAGGGATTACATGATCCAGTCACCTGCCACCAGTTCCCAACCTTGACACATGGTGATTACAATTTGAGATGAGATTTGGGTGGGGACACAGAGCCAAACCATATCAGCTCTCTTAGTCCATTTTTCTGTTGATTGTAATAGAATACTTAAAACTGAGAAATTCATAAAGAAAAGGAATTTATTTATTACATTTATGAAGGCTGGGGAGTCTGAGGTCTAGGGAAGGCATTTGGTGAGAACCTTCTTGCTGGTAGGGACTCTGTGGTGTCCCGAGGTGGTGCAGGGCATCACATGGTGAGGGAGCAGAGTGTGCTAATATTCTAGCTCAGGTCTTTCTTCTCTTATACAGCCACTAGTTCTCCTCCTATGATGCTTCATTAATTCATTAACCCATTAATTCATTCATTAGGACAGAGCTTTCATGATTGAGTTACCTCTTAAAGGCTCCACTTGTCAATACTGCTACATTGGAGATTAAATTTCTTTTTTTTTAATTATACTTTAAGTTCTAGGGTACATGTGCGCAATGTGTAAGTTTGTTACATATGTATACATGTGCCATGTTGGTGTGCTGCACCCATTAACTCGTCATTTAACATTAGGTATATCTCCTAATGCTTTCCCTCCCCCCTTCCCCCACCCCATAACAGGCCCTGGTGTGTGATGTTCCCCTTCCTGTGTCCAAGTGTTCTCATTGTTCAATTCCCGCCTATGAGTGAGAACATGTGGTGTTTGGTTTTTTGTTCTTGTGATAGTTTGCTGAGAATGATGGTTTCCAGCTTCATCCATGTCCCTGCAAAGGACATGAACTCATCCTTTTTTATGACTGCATAGTATTCCATAGTGTATATGTGCCATATTTTCTTAATCCAGTCTATCATTGATGGGCATTTGGGTTGGTTCCAAGTCTTTGCTATTGTGAATAGTACCACAATAAACATACATGTGCATGTGCCTTTATAGCAGCATGATTTATAATCCTTTGGGTATATACCCAGTAATGGGATGGCTGGGTCAAATGGTATTTCTAGTTCTAGATCCTTGAGGAATCGCCACACTGTCTTCCACAATGGTTGAACTAGTTAACAGTCCCACCAACAGTGTAAAAGTGTTCCTATTTCTCCACATCTTCTCCAGCACCTGTTGTTTCCTGACTTTTTAATGATCGCCATTCTAACTGGTATGAGATGGTATCTCATTGTGGTTTTGATTTGCATTTCTCTGATGGCCAGTGATGATGAGCATTTTTTCATGAGTCTGTTGGCTTCATAAATGTCTTCTTTTGAGAAGTGTCTGTTCATATCCTTTGCCCACTTTTTGACGGTGTTGTTTGTTTTCTTTTCTTGTAAATTTGTTTGAGTTCTTTGTAGATTCTGGATATTAGCCCTTTGTCAGATGAGTAGATTGCAAAAATTTTCTCCCATTCTGTAGGTTGCCTGTGAGGAGACATTCAAACCATAGCAATGGTGAAGTAAGACTCTTCAGTGATAGTCACCCTATACAAGTCACCATAATGTAGAATCAGTGGGAGTGCTAAGCTTGTTTTGCTGCAACTATATGGTCCCATCTGGGGGTGATGGATCATCAGGAATTAGATTAGTGACAGATCATCAGGAATTAGATACTCACAAGGAGCATGCAACCTAGATCCCTTGCATGTGTACTTTACAGTAGGGTTCACAATCCAATGAGAATCTAATGCTGCAGCTGATCTGACAGGAGGCGGAGCTCTGGTGGTAATGCGAGTGACGGGGATCAGCTGTAAATACAGATGACTCTTCACTTGCTTACCTGCCATTCACCTCCTGCTGTGTGGTCTGGTTCCTAACAGGCCACAGACTGGTACTGTGGCCAGGGTTTGGGGAACTCCTGCTCTAGACCACCTTGGTGTCATGAAAATCCACAACACCATCCAATGGGCTGAAGTTCCAGTCTGCATTACCACTGGTTAACTACAGTGGCCTCAAGCCCCCACTAATCCTCAGTGGCAGGCGGGCTGTAGCTACTGAAGGCCTTAGCATGTCCAGGTGCCAGACAGGAACCCATGGCCATGGTGGAATGAACTTGAGTTCTGGCCTGCATGACCGCTGACCGACTACAGTGCCCTTAGGCCCTGAAGAAACCTCAGTGGCAGGCAGATTATAGCTGCTGCGGGCCTTAGGCATGCCCTGGTGCCATTCTCATCTTAGTAGCAGTGGACTTTGGGTATAAGTTCAGCAACCAGAAGATAACTCATGTCTCCCTTTTTCCAACACCAGGCAGCACAGCACAGAGAGAAAAATCATTCACTTGGCGAAGGAAAGGAAAGTATAAGCATAGAGGTTTGCTGTAGAACCCAGTATAGTGCCCACCACAGTAAAACTCAATATCTGGCAGATCCCTCCCCACCACAGCTCCTGACTCTAGACTGATATGCACAGGCAGAGCCTCTAGACCTGCCCTGGTGTCAGTTAGGAACCCATGGGCCCCAGCAAAGCAGACTCAGAACTCAACCAACATCACTTCTTGCCTACTTCAGCAGCCTTGAGACCAGAATAAACCTTAGTTGCAGTGCTTAATATCACTAATCATTAGGGAGATCCAAATCAAAACTACAATAAGCTACCATCTCACACCAGTGAGAATGGCTATTACTACAATTTTTTAAAAATAACAGATGCCAGCAAGGTTGGAGAGAATAGGTAACACTTGTACACTGCTGGTGGGAATGTAAATTAGTTAAGCCATTGTGGAAAGCAATCTAGAGGTTTTCCAAAGAACTGAAAGCAGAGCTACCATTTGATCCAAGAGTGTCATTGCTGGATATATAGCCAAAGAAATTATAAATTGTTCTACCATAAAGACACATGCGTGTGTATGTTCATTGCGGTACTATTCACAATAGCAGAGACATGGAATCAACCTAAGTGCCCATCAATGGTGGACTGGATGAAGAAAATGTGCTACATATACACCATGGAATACTACATAGCTATTTTTAAAAATGAGGTCATGGCCTTTTCAGCACATAGAGGGAGCTGGAGGCCATTATCCTAACCAAATTAACACAGGAACAGAAAACCAAATACTCCATGTGCTCCTTATAAATGGGAGCTAAACGTTGTGTACACACAGACACAAAGAAGGGAACAGTAGACACTGGTGCCTATTTTAGGGTGGAGGGTGGGAGGAGGGTGAGGATTGAAAAACTACCTATCAAGTATTATGCTAATTACCTGGGTGACAAAACTATTTGTACACCAAACCCTGATAACATGCAATTTCCCCATGTACCAAACCTGCACACGTACCCCTTAAACCTAAAATAAAAGTTGAAAAGAATAAAAAAAATGTTGGTTTTTTAAAAATATAAACAAAATTGGTAAACTTTTAGCTACACTAAGAAAAAAGAATGAAGACCAAATAAATAAAATCAGAGATGAAAAAAAGTTACATCTGATACCACAGAAATTCAAAGGATTGGCAGACTCTTATGAACAATTTTATGCCAACAGATTGGAAAGCCTAGAAGAAATAGATAAATACCTGGATACCAAAACCAGGTAAGGACATAATAAAAAAGAAAACTACAGGCAAATATTCCTGATGAACATAGATGCAAAACGTTTAACAAAATACTCAACCAAATTCAACAGCACATTAAAAAGATCATTCATTATGACCAAGTGAGATTTATTGCAGGAATACAAAGATGGTTCAACATATTCAAATCAACAAACATAATACATCATATTAACAGAATGAAGGACAAAAACCATATGGTCATTTTAATACACGGAGAAAAGGCATATGACAAAAGTCAACATTCCTTTATGATATAAATTTTCAGTAAATTAGATAGAAGGATTGTACCTCAACCCAATAAGGGCCACAATTGACAAGACCCACAGCTAACCTCATACTGAATGGGAAAAAGTTAAAAACTTTTTTTCTGACATCCGGAACAAGGTAAGGATGTCCACTCTTAGCAGTCCTATACAACATAATACTGGAAGTCCTGACCAGAGCAACTAGGCAAGTGAAAGAAATATAAGGCATCCAAATTTGATAGGAGGAAGTTAAATTGTCCCTTTTTGCTGATGACATGATTTTATACATAGAAATCCCTAAATACTCCACTAAAAGGCTTTTAGAATTTATAAGTGAGTTAAGTTGCAGGTTATAAAATCAACATGCAAAAGTCAGTAGTATATGTATATGCTAATAGTAAATTATTTGTGAAAGAAATAAACAATTCTATTTACCATATCCATTAAAAAAACTGGGAATAAATTTAAGGAGGTGAAAGGAGGTCTCTACATTGGAAATTATAAGACATTGATAAGAGAATTGAAGAAGACACATAAATGGAAAGCTATCCCATATTCAAGGATTAGGAGAATTAATATAGTTAAAATATTTTTACCACTCAGTGTGATCTATAGATTCAATACAGTTTCTATCAAAATACCAATACCATTCTTCACAGAAATAGAAAAAACACCACAAAGTTTGTATGGAACCATAAGAGACTCTAAATAACCAAAGCAGTCTTGACCAAAAAGAACAAAGCCGAAGGCATCACATTACCTGACTTCAAAGTATACCACAATGCTATAGTAACCAAAACAGCATGGTGCTGGCATAAAAACAGATACATAGGCTGATGGAACATATTAGAGAGCCCAACATAAAAATCCACACATTTACAGCCAATTGATTTTTGACAAATGTGCCAAAAGCTTGCAATAAAGAAAGGAAAGTCTCCTTAATAAATAATATTGGGAAAACTGTATATGCATATGTGGAAGAATGACATGAGACACTCTTTTCTCACTATATTAAAAAATTAAAATAGATTAAATAATTAAGTGTAAATCCTTAAACTATTAACCTACTGGAAGAAAACAGGGGAAATGCTTCATGACATGGGTATGGGCAAGGAGTTTTTTGAATAAGAACTCAAGAGCACAGGCAACAAAAGTTAAAATAGACAAATGAGATTATATCACACACAAAAATGTTCGCATAGCAAAGGAAACAACAGAGTGAAAAGACAATCTACAAGTGAAATGTTAGTTATAGAAAAATAAATATGTTCTTACTCATATTGGAGGGTTAAACAGAAATTCTGCTCACAGAATTAAAGTAGCATTGTCGTTATTAGAAACTAGGAAGAGTAGAAGTCAAGGAGAAGAAAGGGAGAAGTTGGTTAATGGACACAAAATTACATCTATATGGAAAGAATGAGTTTTAGCATTCTGTAGCACTATAGGTTGAATATGATTAACAATTATTTAGTGTATATTTATAAAAGCTGAAGGAGAAGATTTTGAATGTTCATAACACAAATAAATGATGAATATTTAAGGTGATGGATATGCTAATTATCATGATTTGGTCATTACACATTGTTCAAATGTAAAAAAGCACTCTCTCTTATAAACATGTACAATTACTATATGTCAACTAAAAAGAAAAAGAATGACACATGTCAAATTTTTAAAAACCCTATGAGAGGAGTACCATTACACATGAAACAATTAAGGCGGAATATGAATTAACTTACCCAAGATCGTGTTGCTTGTAAGTATCAGAATTAGTGTTCAAACCTAGGCAATGTGGCTCAGAGTCAATGCTCTTAACAATCACACTATAAGAACAGATATAATAAATATCTACTTACCTGGAGGATATAAATTCTATTTTTATTCCGAGTTCTGAATCAAAATGGTAATTCAAAGGCAATGAGAACATTAACCTCATCACCATCATTTAGGCTCAAAAGAAAATGGTACATATTCTATTGCAACCAGTCAGGATTAATTCTCAAATGTATGAAACTTGAAGAGGGAGGACAATGCAAAGGAAACCGTACTTAGTAGCAGAATAGTTATTACTATAAGCAGACTTCAAAGTATGTTGGACAAACCATCACTTATGCTGAAAGTGACAATAAAAGACTTGGGAAAAAAAGACCACCTACAGAATGAGAGAAAATATTTGTCAACTATACATTCAAGAGTATAAGGGACTCAGACAACTCACCATAAAAAACCAAACAACCCAGTTGAAAAATGGACAAAATAGACATGTATATGCACATGTGGAAGAATGACATGAAACACTCATTTCTCACTATATTAAAAAATTAAAATAGATTAAATAATTAAGTGTAATTCCTCAAACTATGAATGACAAGAGACATTTTTCAAAAGAAGACATATTATAAATGGCCAACAAGTATATAGTGAAATGCTCAACATCGCTCATCATCAGGGAAATGCAAATCAAAACCACAGTGAGCTATCACCTCACCTCATTTAGAATTGCCATTATCAAAAAGACAAAAGATAATAAGTACTGGTGAACATATGGAGAGAAGGTAATGTAAATTGGTATAACCATTGTAGAAAATAGTATGGAGATTCCTCAAATTAAAAATAGAAATACCATATGTGATCCAGCAATACCACTACTTGGTATATAACTAAATGAATTGCAGTCAATATATCCAAGAGATATCTGCATTCCCATGTTCGTCACAACATTATTCACAATGGCCAAGATATGGAATCAATGTAATTATCCATCATTGGATAAATAGATAAAGAAAATATGGTATATATTCACAATGGAATACTATTCAGCCATATAAAATGATGAAATCTTCTCATTCGCGACAACATGGATGAACCTGGAGGACCTACGTTAAGGGAAATAAGCCAGAAACAGAAAGACAAATTCCATATCATCTCACTCATATGTGGAATTTTAAAAAATTGATTACATTGAAGTAGAGAGAGGAAAGTTACTTACCGGCAGCTGAGGTGGTTAATGAGGAGGAATGGATGAGGACATGTTGGTCAAAGAATAACATAATTACAGTTATGTAGCAGGAATAAATTGTAAGATATCTAATGTATTACAAGGTGATTATAGGTAATGATATATTGCACTGTTGAAAAATATAGAGTGTAGATGTTATGTGATCTTATCACAAAATGATAACTATGTGAGGGAATGCTTTTAACTATAATAAGTTTAACCATTCCACAATGTATATATATTTCAAAATACTGTGTTATATGTGATAAAAACATACAATGTTATCTGTCAATATAAAAGAAATAAACTTTTTAAAGACTGAAAAAATACCGAAATTGAAAGAAAAGTATGTTAAACAGCAATGCAATAGCAGAAGGAAGTGTGAAACTTAGGCCAGACATGGTGGCTTACACCTGTAATCCCAGCACTTGTGAGGCCAAGCCAGGCAGATCACCTGAGATTGGGAGTTTGAGACTAGCCTGACCAACACGGAGAAACCCTGTGTCTACTAAAAATACAAAATTAGCTGGGGGTGGTTGCACATGCCTGTAATCCCAGCGATTCGGGAGGCTGAGGCAGGAGAATCACTTGAACTCGGGAGGCAGAAGTTGCGGTGAGCTGAGATTGTGCCATTGCACTCCAGCTTGGTCAACAAGAGTGAAACTCTGTCTCAAAAAAAAAAATGTGTAAAACTTATTGCTAAGGGTAAATATACAAACAAATTCAGAATACTGTAGTGTGAGATGATGATGGGTACATCACTTAATTCTATTAGGACAGTGCAAAAGTAATTGCAGTAAAGTAATTCAAAGGATACAATTAGTAAAAATAACTCTAACTGAAAATTATGTTAGAAGATACACCATATAAGTAGATGAAAATTGTGACAACAATACTATAAAGTATGTGTTAGGGGAAGAGAAGTTTAAGTGTAGAGTTTTGGTATACTATTGAACTTAAGGTGTTATTGCTTAAAATAGAGCATTAGATTTTATGTAAGTCCTAAGGTAACCACACACACAAAGAATGCCTAAGAAGTTACACAAAATAAAAAGAAATCAAAGCATATCAATAAAAAACATAAAGGAAGACAGCAAGAGAGGAAAGGACAGACAAAAGGGTTATAAGACAAACAGAAAACAACTAACAAAATGGCAAATCATTCCCTGTCAATAATTATTTTAAATGTTAATAAATTGATCTCCCCAATCGAAAGATACAAAGTATCTGAATTGATTTAGAAAAATAAAAAATAAAAAACAAGACCCAACCATATGCTGTCTACAGTAAACTCCCTTTCCATTTAAGGATATATAAAGACTGAAAAACATGTTTCATGCAAATGATAATTTATGCAAATAGTAAACAAAAGTGAGGAGGGATGGCTATTATTATTGCAGACACCATAGACTTTAAGTCAAAAATTATCATGAGACAAAGAAGGACAATAAAAAGGTCTATCCACCAAGAAGAAAATAATGATTATAAATATATACACATCTGATATCAGAGCACCTAAATATATAAGGCAAATATTGTCAGAACTGAAGGGAGAAATAGATAGCAATGCAATCATAGTAAGAGACTTCAGTACTCTACTTTCAATAATAGACAGATTATCCAGATATATTAAAAGGAATCAGCGGGCTTCAATAACACTATAGACCAAATGGACTTAACATATATACAGAACTTTCCACCCAACAGCAGCAAGATATACATTTTTCTCAAGCACACATGGAATATTCTCCAAAATAGATAACACGTTAGGCCATGAAACAAACCTTAATACATTTAAGAAGATTGAAATGATACCAAGTATCCTTTCTGACCACAATGTAATAAAACTAGAAATCAATAGTGGAAGAAAACTCCAAAATGTATAAATATATAGAAATTAAACAATACATCCCTAAACAACCATTGCCTCAATAAGAAATCAAAAAAGAAATTAGAAAATATCTTGAGACAAAAATGAAAACACACTCTACCAAAAATTATGGGATGCAGCAAAAGCAATACTAAGAGGGAAGTTCTAGCAATAAATGCTTACATTAAAAAATAAGAAAGACCTGCAAACTTACAACTTTACCTCAAGGAACTAGAGAAGAGCAAACTAAGCACAAATGTAGTGGAAGGAAGGAAATAAACATTAGAGGAGAAATAAATGAAATGGATAAAAAAATCAACAAAACTGAGAGTTATTATTTGAAAAGATCAACAAAATTGACAAACTCAGCTACACTAAGTAAAAAAGATTTAAAATTCAAATAAATAAAATCAGAAATGAAAGGAGTGATTTACAACTGATGCCACAGAAATAAGGATCATAAGAGACTAATAAGAACAGTTATATACCAACAAACTGTATAATCTAGAAGGATTGAGTAAATTCTTAGAAACATAAAACCTGCCAAGACAAACCATGAAGAAACAGAACGTCTAAGAACTAGTATAGAGATTGAATTAGTAATGAAAAACCTTTTAACGAGGAAAAGCTCAGGATGGCTTCACTAGTGAATTCTACCAAAAATTTGAAGAAATAACATCAGTCCTTAAATTAAAAAAAAAAAAACAACTTGAAAAGGGGAAAACATTGTCATCAGCATTACCCTGACACCAAAACTAGACAAATATATCACAAGAAAATAAAACTGTAGGTGAAAATTCATGATGAAATAGATGCAAAAATCCTCAACAAAATACTGGCAAACTGAATCCAAGAGCACGTTAAAATAATCATGCATCATGATCAAGTGGGATCTATCTCTGAAGTGCAAGGATGATTCAACACATAATAATAACACTTTCTGATTTTAAGCTAAATTACAAGGCTACAATAATTAATGTAGTATGACAATTGCATAAAAACAGACATATAGACCAATGGAACAGAATAGAGAGCCCAGAAATAATCCATACATATGTGGTCAACTGATCTTTGACAAGGGTGCCAAGAATACACAGTGTAGAAAGGATAATATTTTAAACAAGTGGTATTGAGAAAACTGGATATCCACATGTATAAGAATGTAATTAGACCTTTTTCATACATCTTACTAAAAACATCAATTCAAAATGGATTAAAGACTTAAACATAAGACCTTAAACTCTGAAATAAACATAGGACCTTAAACTCTGAAATATGTAGAAAAAACGTAGAAGAAAAGCTTCATGACGCTGGTTTTGACAATGTCATGGCTCTATAAACTTAACACTGAAAGTAACTACAATGAAAACAAAAATAAACATGTAGGACAAGGTCAAACTAAAAAGCTTCTGCATAGCAAAAGAAACAATCAGCAGCGTGAAAACACAATGTAGAGAATAGGAGAAAATTTTTGCAAGCCATGTATCTGTAAAGCGTTAATCTGCAAAATACATAAGAAACTCATACAACTCAATAGTAAAAAAAAAAAAAAAAAAATCTAGTAACCCGATTTTAAAATGGGCTTAAGTCTTAAATAGACATTTCTCCAATGTCTATACTATAAAGCATGTGTCAGGGGAAGAGAAGTTTTAAGTGTAGAGTTTTGGTATACTATTGAACTTAAGGTGTTATCAGCTTAAAACAGAGCATTAGATTTTATATAAGTCCTAAGGTAACCACACACACAAAGAATGCCTAAGATCAGGTATATGGAAAAGTGCTTAATGTTACTAATCATTAGAGAAACGCAAATCAAAACCAAGAATAGATACTAGGATCATTATTATGTGTATGTATTTTAAACCGAAAGACACCTTTTGACAAGGATGTGAAGATATTGGAACACTTGTATGGTGGGACTGCAAAATGGTTCAACCACTATGGAAAGCAGTGTGGAGGTTCCTCAAAAAATTAAAAATAGAACTACCTATATAATACAGCAGTCCCATTTCTGGATATTTATACAAGAGAATTGAAATCAAGATCTCAAAGAGAAATAAATCATAATATTTTTGGCAATAGCCAATATGTGGAAATGGCCTAAATGGCCATTGGCAGATGAATAAACAACATGTGGTTACCCAGCCCTTATTAGGGTGGAAGAGTATCCCTTCGTGTACCTATAATACACGTGGTATTTCTACAATGGAATACTTTTCAGCCTTAATAAATAAGGAAATTTTACAGTATGTGACAACATGGATAAACCTGGAGGATATTATGTGAAGTGAAATGACCAGTCATAGAAAGACAGATTCTTCACTATTCAACTTATATCAGGTATCTAAAATAGTCATATATATAGAATCAAAGAGTGTAATGGTGGCTGATGGGCTGGGGGAGGTTGAAATGCAGAGATACTAATCAATGAACTTAAAGTTTCAGTCAAGCAAGCTTGATTGATGTATAAACTTTAGAAATCTGCTGTGCAACATTGTATCTAGAGTCACCAGTAATGTACTATATATTTATAAATTTGTTAATAGGGTAGATCTCATGTTCAGTGTTCTTACTACAATAAAATAAAATATTAATGGAAAAATCTTAAATAAAATATTAGGAGACAGAATCCCACCAGCACATTAAAAAATAATTAATTATGACTAGTGGTGTTTTACTCCAGGGATGCAAGGATAGATACTATTACAAAATCCATCAATATAATTTATATCGCTAATAGGTCTAAGAACAAATGATTATCTTTATGATGCTGAAAAAGTCTTTGAATAAAATTTAGCACCCATTGTATTTCCAGTTTTGATAATCAGATCAGTCCTTCCACTGGGAGAATTCTATACTCTACAAAAATATAATTTAAAACATGTCATCAAATTATTTTCAGCAAACAAAATTTGCAACAATTCATCAACATCAAATCTTACTAAGGAAAAACCTAAAAGACTTGTTTAAGCAAATGAAAATGATCTATTATATAAGAACAGAGATGAAGAAAAGAATAAAGAACCACAAACGTGTTAAACTAAGGAAATATTTTATAAAAATAATAATGACTTCTTGCAGTGTAATATATTGAGAATTATGATACAAGTTGGGATGACGTTCACTAAATTTAATTGCCAATGTCTTTATGATGGTTAATTTTACACACCAAACTGACTGGATTAAGGAATACTCAGAGAGTTGGTAAAACATTATTTTTAGTATGTCTGTGAAAGTGTTTCCAGAATAAATGACCATTTGAATTAGTAGGCTGAGTGAAGAATATCTGCCCTCACCAATGTGAGTAGACATTATCCAGTTTATTGAGCTTAGGATAGAACAAAAAAGACGAAAGGTGAATTTGCTCTCTCTACTGGAACTGGGACATCTATCCTTTCCTGCTTTTGAATATCAGCTCAAGGTTCTCAGGACTTCAGACTTTTCTTTCCCAGGCCTCTCCCACTTCTCTGGTTCTCAGGCCTTCAAACACAGACTAAATTACAATCCCAGTTTTCCTACTTAGTCAGCTTATAGAGAGCATATTGTGGAACTTCTAATCCTGCATAATTACATGAACCAATTTGCATAATAAATTCCTTCTTATATAGCTATACAGATATATATCCTATTGATTCTGTTTCTCTGGAGAACCCTGACTAATACAGTCCTTATAATTTCCAGAAAGTAGCACAAGTACTAATTTACATTATAATTTGATAAGTCATGAAAAATTTTTATTCTGGTGGGTAAAATATAATAAATGTATGTATAATGGATAAGTTAATAGAGTGGAAAATTAGGATAAGAAAAAACTACTAACCAACTCCCTTCCCAAAAAGAGGGAGGACACATTAACAAATGGGACAAATACAAGATAAGTAGGTAGCTTTGTTCTAAAATATGTCAGCAATTATATTAAATGTAAACTGACTAAATAGGCTAATTACCAGACAATAATTTGCAAACTGCTAAAACAACAATATGCTGTTACAAGAGATACATTTTAAACTTACAGATGTAGAAAAGTTTAACGCAAAACTGCAAAAGGATATAGTATGTAAACCATAACCAAAGAAAACTTGTGTAACTATACTAATATCAGAGGATACAGACTTTAAGGCAAAAACTTTTTTAAGGATAATATTTTATAATAGAAATTGGTTAATTCAGCAGAAGATGTAATAATCCTAAATTTGTATATGCCTAATGATGACATAGATTTATAGTATACAGGTAGTGCTTACTTTGCATGGTACCACGTTAACTAAAACATGTGCTTATCTGAATTGTGTTTTCATTTTGCATGGAATCATGATGTGTGTGTATGTATAATTTGATAGAACTAAAAATATTTTTAAAATTGGACAGAACTAAAATGAAAAATACTCAAATCTACAATTGTAGTTGGAGATTTTAACAAACCTCTTCCAGTCACTGAGAAAACAAACAAACAAAGAAATAATTAGTGTGGATAAAGAAAATTAAAACCACATGATTAACAACTTAACCAAGTTGACACATATAATACATTATGTATATAGTACTAGCAGACCACACATTATTTTCAAGTGCTTATAGAGTATTTGCCAAAGTTGTATATTTGCTGAACCAAAAAACATGCCAATAAATTTCAGAGGATTAAAATAATACACAATATGTTCTCTAACCACAAGAGAATTTAGCAAGATTATCAATAAGAAAAAGATAAATGAAAAATCCCCTAATTGTTTAGTCATTAAGTACTACACTTCTGAATAGCTTCTATGTCATAGAAGAAATCAGTATAAAAATTAGAATATATTTTAAACAAAATTGCAATAACAATGTGACATATCAAAAACTTGTGCAATGTAGCTAAAGCTGTGCCTCCAGGAAAATTTATAGTTTATATTACATTTCTTAAAAAGTGAAGAAAAGCTGAAAATCAGTGATCTTAGTATCCAACCCAGTAAGCTAGATAAACAGTGAATTAAACCCAAAGAAAGTAGTAGAAAGATAACAATAAAGATATAATGGTTAATTTTATGTGTCAACTTGACTGGGCCTTGAGGTAACCAAATATTGGTCAAACATCATTCTAAAGGTTTAGGTGAGGATGTTTTGGTTGAGATGAATATTTAAATCTGTAGACTGAGTGAAGCAGGTTGCCATTCCTAATGCGAGTGGGTCTCATCAATCAGCTGAAGGCCTGAATAGAACAAAAAGGCTAACCCTTTTTCAAGTAAGAGAGAATTCTTCCTGCCTGACTGCTTTTGAACTGAGACATCAGCTTTTTCCTGCCTTTGGACTCTAACTGAAACATCGGCTCTTCCTGGTTCTTGAGCCTGCTGACCTTCAGACTGGAACTATACCATTGGTTCTCCTGGTTCTCAGGTCTTCAGACTCAGACTGGCACACCATCAGCTCTCCTGGATCTCCTGCTTGCCAGCTCACCCTGCAGATCTTGGGACTTGTCAGCCTTCATAATCACGTGAGCCAATTCCTCATAATAAATATCTTTTTCTATACATAGAAAAACATCTCTTGGTTCTAATTTTTCGGAGAACCTTAATTCAAAAGATGAGAGCGGAAATTAAAAGAATAGAAAACAAAAATTTAGTACATTAACAAAACAGTTATTTGAAAATACTAACAAAATTGATGCATCTCTGGCAAGTCTGATCAAGAATGAAAGAGAAGGCACAAAAAATCACAACCAATTTATGCTCCCCCTAGTAGTACAGTTGGTTTAACTTTTCAGAATCAGTCAATGCAATTCACAGAAATAAGGAGAAAAATATATGGCAATAAAAATAGCTAATAAGCAGCATTTAATAAAATTTACCTTCTCTTCATTATAAAAATCTCTTGGTACACTAGGGAAAGAAAGGAATTTCATTAATATGAACTTTGTTAATTTTCCCAAAGCTATGAAAACATCCTCCTTAATGATGAATTAATATTTTTCCTCCTGAAATGATAAATGAGACAAAGATGGCTATGATTTATTCCTTTAATTTAACATTGTACAGCTATTCACAATATTGGTCATTAGATGAGAAGGAAATGGAACTCATATACATTTTGTGAAAATGAAAACATGAAGTGGTTGGTATAACCACTTTGGAAAACTGCTTGGCAGTATCTATTAAAGTTAAACATACTAATATCCTATGGATCAATATACATTTAACAGAAATGCATATATGTATTTACCAAAAGATATGTACAAGGTTGTTCATGGCAGTATTATTACATCAACTGTAAAATGAATAAATTAATTTGTGGTAGTGCCATAGCCAAACAATGAAATGCTATTTTAATAATGAAATTAAATTAACTAATGCTACAAATATAATAGAAATAGAAGCAAGAAAGAGAGCAATATGTATTGTATAATTCTACCTGTCTAATTCGAAACAGGTAACAGTAGCCTATGGTGTTAGAAGTCAGGATAGTGGTTATTTTTAGAGAGGAGAGTGGGAATATTAACTAGGTAAGAGTACGAAATAGGCTTCTGTGAATGGCTTGTATTGTTTTTCTTGTATTACTTGTCTTCTATTGTGTTTTTTAACGTGGATTGTAGTTTCATGGGTATGTTTACTTCATCATAATTCATTAAATATACATCTATAATCTGTGTACATTATATATATTTCAACAAAAATATTTATTTTAAAATTAAACACCTATTCCTAATAAAAGAAATGTATAACATATAAATCAATTTATACTTCTTTAAATCTCTCTCTCTCTCTTTCTATGCCCTCTCCCTCCCTCCCCAGAATTCAGGATCTTATTTAATGGGGAAACACTAGAGGCATAGCCACCAAAGTCAGGAAGAAGGCAAGGATGCTTAGCCTCTCTACTATTTTTAATACTCTAGGATGATTTTTAGCAAAGCAGTTAGATAAATACAAACAATTAGAGACATAAAAATTAGAAAAAAATAAAGTAGTCTCTATTTTAGATTATATGATAATATATCTGGAATGGCAAAGAGAATCAACCTTAAAATGAATACAAACAAAATAATTTAGAAAGGTGTATACTAAAATCTAACTATAGAATTAATACCCTATTAGAAAAGGTAATGAAGAGAAGAACCCATATAAAATAGCAATAAGAAAGTTAAAATAACTAGGTATAAAATTAACAAGAAAATCAATATGTGGAAAACTTTCAAACTTCCTAAAAGATATAAACATATACTCGAATAAATAAAAGGTGGTATCCTTTGCTCTTGAATAAGGTGGCTCATTATTTTTAATTCTGCTTTCTGAGATTTACTTTTTTCTTTACTTTTCAAAGTCAAATGCTTATATCATTAAAACATTTTCAGTTTTTCTTCTCTACGTACATATTTACAAAACCATAAAATTTCCTCTTAAGATTCATCTGTGTCTTGTGAGGCATTTTTGTTCAGTTCTGTTTTATATATTTCATTATGATTTCTTCTTTGCTTATTAATTACCTACAGATATATTTTTTAGTTTTCAAAATATTTTTGTCATGACTTCTAATTTTATTTTACTGTGGTTAGAATATAATATCTACAATTTTGATTTTTTGGTATTTAACAATTAATTTGTTATTCACCAAATACCTATTTTTTTCAGACACTAGTGTAGGTTCTAATGATATCATGGTGAAGAAGTAACCCTACTTCTTTGCCTTTATGGTACTTGCTTCTATTGTGAGAGACATTTTCTGTTTAAAAAATATGTATATATAATTTGTGGTTTGGGCATTGTTCCTGTTTTGGTGTGGTCAAATATTGCAGAGTGCTCTTATTTTTGTCTTGGTTCCTCATGGTCACAGAGTGGCCTTGTCTAATGTCTCCTGGATGTCAGGGGGATTCTTTTCTCTTTTCTAATTCTCTAACTGATTCTAATATCATGTTTTCTAAATCATAATCTTGTATACTTATCTCAACAGTTTATGGTGTTTTTGAGGTTCAGTATGTTATATTTTGTGATTTACTGGGGCTATTGCTAGCAATGTTTTATAAGCAAATCAACTTTTATCTTTCAGATATTTACTTTAATAAAATATAATAGTGTTTTAGGATATTATTTTATTAAATCTTGGGGCTCAAATTTAGAAAGATTATATTATTCATTTTATTGCTTAAGTTATATTTTCTAAACTTTTTAGGCTAATGAATCTCCTTGCCAATATCTCCTTGCCAAGAGTCTCATACACTCAATAAAGTTGGTTTTATTGGCTGGGCATGGTGACTCATGCCTGTAATCCTAGCACTTTGGGAGGCCAAGAGGGGCAGATCACTTGAGGTCAGGAGTTCGAAACCAGCCTGGCCAACGTGGTGAAACCCCATCTCTACTAAAAATACAAAAATTAGCCAGGTGTGGTGGCAGATGCCTGTAATCCCAGCTATTCAGGAGGCTGAGGCACAGAATCTCTTGAACCCAGGAGGCGGAGGTTGCAGTGAGCAGAGATTGTGCCACTGCACTCCACCCTGGGTGGCAGAGTAAGACTCTGTCCTCTGTCTCAAAAAAAAAAAGAAAGAAAAGAAATTGGTTTCATCGTTCATCATTTTCTCTTGTATGTAAAAAAAATCAATTTGAAGTTAAAACATATCTTAGTACACTTAGTACAGTCATATCAATTTTATTTTAAGAAATATTACTCAAATATGTATTTAGTTTTGACATTTTCACTTAGCAAGTCATATATGCCATTTACTTCAAGTTAACATGTAAAAAGCTCAATTTTTTGTCATTTTTAACATTTATTGTGTGTGGTTTAATAACCAAGCATTTTTGTTATAGCTTCAAAAATAAATGTATATTGCTTTAATGAACTGATATTTGAAACCTTTTGTGTTTTTACTGCGAAAACTACTAGCTGGTTTACTTTTGTTATTTTTTGTGTCTCATTGTAAGATGTCGAGATAAGTGATAAGGTCTCAGGATGCTCTGCAGGCTTAGGTTATCACCACCACTATATTTTCTGTTCTTACCAATGGTTTTTTGAAGTTATTGATACATCTTTATCCAGTGTATAAGAATTTTCATCAGAGGAATACTACTAATGTATTTGAAGAAAATCATCTTAAGGCAAATCTGTCAGAAATATATCATTATTTTAACATTGGCTATTTTTATCCTTCCTCTTATTTTTTTTCCCTAACCAATGATAGGTTAAATTTTCTGTCATTGGTAACAAAAAAATAGGAAGGATACAAATAATAATTGTGAATCATTTAACAGCAAAAGTTATCAGTATGGCTAGCATTGTTTAGCTTAATGACTGAGTCTTAAAGATGATCATATTATAATCATGATATGTTCTAAAATTCTTCTATTTTAAAGAAATATTTTATTAATCATCTTATTTATTGATTTAAAAATAAATATTAATCTTTTTAATGACGTGAATCTCTAGAATAACTTTATAATCTTCAGAGGGTTCATAAAACATCAGTTTAAAATATTGAATTCGGTCAAAGAGAAAATAGGATTTGGTAGAAGAAATTTGAAGCCAAATTTGAAGCCACATTTCTCAAGTGCATAGGACTGAATGGCATATACATAGTTCATTAATCTTATCCCATTTCATGTTTTATTTCATCTTCGTTTTCTATCCCATTTTTCTTTTCTTCCAATTTTCATACTTATTTTATATCATGTCATATATATTTATATTCTTCCTTATTTCCTCTTTGAAATTAGGTGATTTATTGGTAAGTGTTCATATTGAAGCAGAGTTTGCCATTTTTTAAATGTAGAAAACCTATATTCAAGTTCTAGAAAAATTTATTCTAAATAAGGATGTTATGTGGTATGATTTTACTTTATTAACATTAAACTTTATTTGAAGCAAGTTAAAATTAATGTTAGAATTAAGAAAATGATTGTTCTAATGTTTTCCAGCTGCTAATAGGTTATGAAAATGGTACTGTAGTATTCTGGGACTTGAAATCTAAAAGAGCAGAACTGAGAGTTTATTATGATGAGGTAAGTGATTTCTACCGACATGTTTGAAAGAGTATTGTGACGTTATGCCTGTTTACTACTTTTAAGCTTTGCACTTTACCAGTATGTTTAGCCTTGGAAAGTTGCCTGATTCTGACCCAGTGCTTCACACTGTCTTTTAGTATTTGTGTAAGTTCCATCTCTAGATTTTTCTTTTAAGAGGAAATTCTGCCTTGACTGCCTATTTCGGGGCCCTCTTGTGGCATCTTATATACTTTGCATTTGTTAATAGATCCTGCCTTGTCAATCTTATATACTTGGGTGCCTGTCACCTGTACTATATCCCCAACTTTGTCTCAACTGCTTTTCCTTTCTGTAGGCTCCATGCTACGTTGTGCCTCATTGTCCTTAAGGTCTCTAAAGACACTATTCACACCTTCCTTAGAAAATTCCTTTTCAGTGGCAAGAAGTTCAAGTCAGTTTGAAAGGTCTTGTCTTCTAATACTTGCCTTCTTAGAATAAAGAAAAATTTTGTAAATAGTAATACTTATTAAGTGACCAGATATTAATAAGTGACACTTATTAAATGACCAGATCTTGAAGTAAGTTTTATTGTATGTAATTGAGACTTGATTAAGTTTGTATTTAGGGGAAGCAACAAACTCCTATTCATCAAGGAATAATCTCCCAGTTGACACTTCAGTTGTTCAAATATTAATTCCGGGCCATTAATTATTTTTCCATTCAGAAGAGGCTAATAAGAAGACCGTAAAACTGGGGGCAACAGATTAAAAGGGAAATTACCTTTTGTACCTGTGGAAACAAAGGTGATCATCTGTGCTATTAATTCAATTTGAAAATGGTGGGAGTAGGAAGAGATAGGAGGAAAATATATGTCAAAAATTTATGTCCAGTAAAACCTAATCTTATATAGGAAAAGTGCCAAATAATTTAAAGCAGCACTGAAATAATTAGAAAATGAAACACACACACATTTATTTTAGAACACTTCCTTATTTTATCATTGGAGGGATAAAAAAAGTCTCCAGATGAACCTGTAGTCACCCTAGAATACTTTACATGTTCTCTCCCATCCCCCTCATAACAGTTAATTTTTTAAGTTTCGGTGCTTAAAGATATAAGCCTTCACCTATTTCATAAGCTGCACAATTCGTTATCAGTCATTCTCATAGTGGTAAAAAAATGTTTAGAAATAAAATAAAATGGCAGCTGGGTAATTTTTTCACAATTGGTGAAAAATAATCTGATAAGTAATATCATGCAGTTATGTTCTTTATAATCAAATTCTTCAGCATCTTGAATCATAAGAAAAGAAGGTCTTAGGGAGCTAAGCTAGGAGTTTCCTTTTGTTATACAAATCATAAAGATGGGGATGGATAGTGCTCCTTCTCTTCCCTCTCTCAACACTAGCAGCTAAATAAGAATACAAACACCATGGGAATATTTAGCCAGTTGGAATTAGAATAACCAGCTCAAAAGAAAACCCAGAGGAAAATGCTGAATCATCTAGCTTTCCTATGGCCTTAAAAAGTATGGAAGAAACGTTTTGAGCCTTAAAAAGAGAGTAAAATTTCAGTGAAATTTTAAAATAAGGATTTGCAGCTGCCTTAGTACAAATATATGTAATTTATACCTAGAAGTTATTGACATCTGATATATGTATGTAAATATATCATCTTTATCTACTTTAATGTGTCATTATATGCTCTATTGTTTTAACAGAGATAGTTAAATACTTCATTTCACTACCAAACTTTTCAGCCTCTCCTCAGCACTTTACCTCTCATATCTAGAAAGCATGCTTAATACTTACCTGAAATGTTTTTTCTTAAGTCACCAATAAGCTCTTCATTACTACACACAGTGACCTCTTCCAAGCCTTTAAATTCCTCACTAAACCTGTGGCTTTACCTCAGTTTCTCCTCCTTAAAATAATTTATTCACTTGTCTGTGTCTTTCCACCTCATTTATCATGCACCTTTTTCCATAACTGATTTTTCCCTTAGCTCTCCTTTACGTTATTGATATTCTTCAGGATATTATGTCTTTACCCTCATTTCTTCTCTCTCTAATTTATACTTTCTAGTGTTTATATTATCTCTTATTTCAAATATTACCTTTATGCTAAAAAAAGAACATCCATATATCTGTAGCCTTTACCTCCCTCTTGAACTCTAGATCTAAATATCTAACAATATATTAGATAAATCCAGCAAAATATCCCATTGGCACTGAATTTGTATTTAAATATCTAAACCTCCTTCTATGTTTTCTTCTGGTTTTTAAGTCTTGTTTAGTTAATTCAGTTTAGACCCCTCAAAGTAATATTTGTCTCTTCCATCATCGTGTTGTATATGCAATCAATTTCTGCAGGCTTTCTGATTCTGATTTTATATTGTCTCATTTATTTCCTCTTTTCTAATTCCCACTTCCAATGTCCTAGTTTAAGTTGTTATCTTTTGCCTGGATGACTATAAGAGCATTTTAACTAATCACAACCACTTTTCCTTTGATGTCTTACCTCTTCAATATATCCTTCATTAACAAGATTATCATTTTAAAACAGATTATGGAATTCTCTACAACAGAACCTTTGAATAGCTCTCAATTGTCGACAATACACAGTCCATATTGCTTGACTTGAGATTTAAGGTCCTAGTGCTATCATTCCTCTTTAGTTAAATTTACAACATCCTTCTACACATTCCCCACATTTCAGACATATTACTCACTATCTTCCATATATAACACTTATTGCTTATCTCTGAGCCTTTGCTCCTTCTAACTTCTCATCATGAACTGCCTTCTTTCCTCTTCTGTATATCAAAATTCTGTTAGGTCTTTAGCCCCTGTAAAACTATTTAGACAATTTAACTAGCCTCTTCATAAATAGCCATTGATGAATGGATATTGTTATCCAGTTTTTTGGATTTCCTTCTTCTTTCATGTGTTCAAGAAACTCAGTCTCAGCCACTGAGTTGATAAAACTAGCTAGTATTTTATGTTTAAAATTCTGTTTTCTATCTCTTAAAATTCTTTTTGGATTAGTTGTATTATATTTGTTTTTTTCAGTAAGCCCTCTGAGCCCCCCTCCCTTTTTTTGAGAAAAGAGAGGGGTAGAATCTAATAAATAGAAATTGAATATTTATCCATCAAGTTAGATCAAATGCTAGCTACTCAGTAATGCACTATATGAGACCCTGATCTCTAATAACAAGTTGGTTTTACATGCTTGCTTTTCTAAACAATAAATATACTTCTTTAATAGTACTGACTTACTTTGGCTTTATTTAGCTATTGTTTTTATATCTGTCCTCTCCAGTAGATAGAAATTCAGTGAAATAAGAAAGTTTAGGGTTGAGAGTGCCTTTTCTGCCTCCATCTTTGATGGCAAAACAGTTTGAGACAACTTTAAGTTAAATGAGGCTCATCAAAGTTAACATGTAGGGGAGGCAAGAAGATGTGACTTTCCCTTGAACCACCTACAGAAGGGAGAAGAAATAAGCAGAGGAGAAGAGAAAAAAAGTATTTTATCTCTAACTTCCTCTGCTGGACCCTAGCAAAAAAGAAATCTCTGCTTAGTAATGAAGGCCACAGAGTGAGAGAAAACACAAGTCCAGGATTTCATGTTGCTTTTTCCACTTAATCAAATCTTATTTTCTTGATTATATGTGTAATAATTACTTTAGCCATCAGTTATCTGCAACTCTAATAATACTGATTGTTTAGAACTTTTATCAGTTATGTATGTGTAACTTAGTTTGGAAATTTTAGTTGTATGTGTCTGTGTGTGAAGTTTCAAAAAATAAATATGATTAGTATTCACTTATATTAATCTTCTCTCTCTTGCTGTTTTATAAGTGTCTTTAAGGAAAAGATGTTGTATGCTTCTTTTCTGCCTTTATGTCTACTAGAATTTTTCTTATAGTACTTAGTACTTTACCCAAGTTCTGTATGTACTTTATTAATTTAGAAAGAATACCAAGGGTGTGGAAATGCATATGACATTAATTACTAATTCAGTCAACAGATATTTATTGAGTACTTACTTTATGCTGGTCACTATGCTAGCATTGGGAATACAATAGCTTGGGAAAATGAAATACAGTCAGCCCTCCGTATCCATAAATTCCATATCCTTGGATTCAACTAACTATAATAGGAAATATTTTAAAAACAAAAAATAATTTTAAAACAATATAATAATTTATAATAATACAAATAAAAAGACAGTATAGTATAACTACTTACATATCATTTACATTCTATTAGTAATCTAGGGATGATTTTAAGTATATGGGAGGATATTCATAGGTTGTATGCAAATAGTATGCTGTTTTATATAAGGGACTTGAGCATCTGTGGATTTTAGAATCTGAGGGAGTGTGGGAGTTCTCTAACTAATCCCCAGTGGATACCGAGGGATGGCTGTAATTACTTTTGAATCTTATCTGACTCAAAACTACAGAGTTAACCTGAAAATATAAAAGAAAATTTAAACCTTTCTTGCTTTAAATTGATTTAAATAGTATATGCAAGAGGGCAATACAGTGCAATGATTGAGAACGTTTTTCGTAGTTAGACCTTGGTTTTGAGTTCTGTGACTTGAGCAAGTATCTCAATCTCTCAAGGCCTGTTTCACCATGTGTAAATTGAAAAATCAATACACTTTTTATAGGATTAAATGAAATAATGTGTATAAAATGCTTGCCTTGGGGTTTGGCACATAGAAAGCCTTCAGATGGTAGCTCTTACTTAAATTATTCTTTTAATTGGCTATGTGAGGAGGAAATAGGACTTCATCTTACCAGAAATTATAGTCTGATATGGGTCAGAAAAATTATGTTTTTTAAGTGTTGTTAGTATAATAATTTTATATCAGAATAGTTTTTCTTTGGAATATAGAATGATATAACCTATCTACTTTTTTCCCCCTCTACTTGTTTTAATTGTTATTTTATTAGGCTATTCATTCAATTGATTGGCATCATGAGGGCAAACAGTTCATGTGCAGCCATTCAGATGGTAGTTTGACTTTATGGAACCTGAAAAGCCCAAGTCGCCCTTTCCAGACCACAATTCCACATGGTAAGATGTATGCTTTCAAAAGGAATAAACACTGGCAATTCAGTGCCTTGACTTGAAGTAAGAGAGATGGTATTAATGCGTTTGGTAGAAAAAAGTAATAGGACATAGCTTCTGGTTCTAAACATCCCTTTTATACCACCTACAGATCCCAACATTGTACCCCAAACTTTCCATACTTCCCTTCTTCCTACCAACCCACATCCCTGTTTTGTAAGCTGTAGTTATGTACTGTCCCAACCAAAAATTGGATAATGGATGGTTGATATATCTGGGGCAGAGGAGATAATATAGGAAATTTTGTCACTTTTAAGGGCTGAGGAGCCAGTGAGAGAATGGCACTATTTAGATGTGACTTTCAGAGTTAATTCCTATACTACTTTATAGTCTGTTGTTTTCTAGATTCTCCCACTTGTTTCCATTTCTGCCATTTGATTCCAGTAAGTTATGAAGACTGTGGTTTTAATTTTAGGTTTTACTTTTCTTATTGCCTTCCACATTGAGAAGAGCATTTTAATCCTAAATGAGGATTTTAATCTTAATTGAGGATTTATATTGGATCTGTATACCTAATGGGGAAGAATAAGCAATTCA
Source organism: Homo sapiens (assembly GCF_000001405.40). NCBI lineage: Eukaryota > Metazoa > Chordata > Mammalia > Primates > Hominidae > Homo > Homo sapiens. The sequence goes on from NC_000003.12 coordinate 121,158,219, forward strand.
AATGTATAAATATATATAATTCAGATGACTAAATTATTTGATAATATTGGTGATGATCTGAGTTCTATGTTTACCTCATATCATTGATTATTTGTAATAATAGATATGTCAGAAACTAACAGTTGATCAAACATATTCTATGTTACAGTTTCTGAGCGTTCGTTATCATGTCACATTTGGAAAGTAGTGGTATGTTTTCTGTAATGGGTGACCCATAGATCACAAGCATTCTTAGAATTATTTCATGCTGTTTGTCTGCCATTTTTTTGTACCATAGTTACATGCTCCATCAGTAAATGATCAAATTATTGCAACATTCTTCCAGGATGTAAATGTTTTAGTCTTTAGCTGGTTTACTTAGAGATTACTTTACATTTAGATGCTTACTTAGAGATGCTTTATTTAGAGATTGCCATTACAGAAACCTTGGGTAGATATTAGCTATACATACCACTCAGGATTAACTATTTATTTCTACGATAGGGGATAAGTTCTGTCCACACACCCCCAGCTAACCCCCAATACTCATGCCTTTTATATGTAAAAGTATAATATGAGCTAGTCATAAATTTTCTACTTACTTCCTTATGTTCTTCTCAAATATCAGTTTCTATTAGTTCTTTTGGCTAGACTGGACATTTGATACTTTTATTTTTTTTACCATATCCATATTTATTTCATCAGTTTGGATTGTTTTCTATTATTCTGCTTTTCTGTTGAAATAAAGTTCTGTTTACAGGTTGTTCAACACATCAGCCTTGATGTCTTTTATAACATATAAAACAGGAATAGATTATATTCCTGTTGCCTCACAATAACATAAGCACCAGTGATTTTGATAATAGAGGCATTTATTGTCATCTATTGACATTCTTTGGGTTTATTTTTTTCCCTTTTGTTTTAGCCATTTTTATTTTCTAAAATAAAACTTTTCTCTAAGTACCACTTTAGATATATCCTATAAGTCTTTAAATGTAATATTATTAATCATATATAATTTTCATTAATATTTAGTTTGAGATATTTTCTATAATTCCTATTATAATTCTCCTTTGACCCATTAGTTATTTAGACATGTGCTTTCTAATTTCTAAACATTTTCATTTTTATTATTTGTGTTATTATTATTAATAAAAGATGGGTCTTACTATGTTGCCCAGGCTGGTCCTAAGCTTCTGGAGGCCTCAAGTGATCCTCCCTCTTTGGCCTCACAAAGTGCTAAAATTATAGGTGTGAGCAACCACACCCAACCTCAATTTCTAAGCATGTTTTTTATGATGGATTTTAAAATTGTAGCCAGAGAATATGACATAACTAGTTCTACAAAATCTACTGAGATTTGCTTTATAATCAGTGCAGAGCCAATTACCATAGCATTCTAAGTGTGCTTGGGAAGAATGTACATTTTCTTTTTTTTTTTTTTTTTTTTGAGACGGAGTCTCGCTCTTTCGCCCAGGCTGGACTGCAGTGGCGCTGTCTTGGCTCACTGCAAGCTCCGCCTCCCGGGTTCACGCCATTCTCCTGCCTCAGCCTCCCGAGTAGCTGGGACTACAGGCGCCCGCTACCATGCCCGGCTAATTTTTTTTTGTATTTTTAGTAGAGACGGGGTTTCACCGTGTTAGCCAGGATGGTCTCGATCTCCTGACCTCGTGATCCGCCCGCCTCAGCCTCCCAAAGTGCTGGGATTACAGGCGTGAGCCACCGCGCCCGGCCGACATTTTCTAATTGTTACATAAAGGTCAAACTTGAAATTGTGTTTTTCATTTTGTATGGTTTAAATTGTTGCTAATTTTTTGTTCTGATATTTCAATTCTTAGAGAAGCGAGTTAACATTTCTCTTATAATGGATTTTCCTTTGTAATTCTGTTCATTTTTGTTTTATGTATTTTAAAAAACAAATAGGTCAGGGTAGTTGATGGTGTTTTCCAGATTCCCTGTAATTGAACTGATACTTGTCTAGTGCTATCAATTGCTGAGAGAGTGCTATTAAATTTCCTAATATGATTATAGAAGTGCACGCTTCTCAGTTTAATTCTGCCCATTTTTGCTTTATTTATTTTGGGGATCTATTATTAGGCATCCATTACATATCCTATAAAGAGCATAGTCCACCTTTTGTATACACAGATTCTTCACCCAAAGATTCAACAAAACCAAAGATCAAAAGTGTTCTGAGAAAAAAAATTAAAAATACAAAAATTTAAAATAATACAAATAAAAAGAAACAATACAGTATCACAACTATTTGCATAGTGTCACACTGTATTGCATATAAGTAATCTAGAGATGATTTAAAGTATACAGGAGGATGTATGTAGATTATATGCAAATATTATGCCATTTTATATAACAGACTTAAGCATTTGTGGATTTGGGTATAGGAGGGGGAGTCCTGGAATCAACGGATACTGGGAATAACCATAGTTGAGTCTTGTGCTTTTATCTAGTCAGAGTTCAATCTATTAATATTAAATGTAAGTACTGATGAGATTGAATTTTGGCCTACCACTTTATTATTTGTTTTGTGGGTCCCGTCATATTTTTCCCTCTTTCCTCTTTTTGCCTTCTTGGAGGTTATTTCAATATTTTCTAGTAGAATTCCATTTTAATTTAAATATTAATCTAAGCATTTTATTTTCACATATTTTTTATTGGTTGCTCCAGGGATTACAATATACTTCCTTAACTATTCAAAGCCTATTAGAGCTAACATTGTAACACTTCACATAAAATTTGCAAATCTTGTAACCATGTAGATCTATTTCTCTTCCCCTACTGTCCTTTACGCTATGGTTATCATATAGTACATCCAAATATATTGTTATAATTTTTGCTTTAAATCATCATGTCTTTTTTTAATTAAGAGGAAAAACAGTCTTTTGAATTTTCTTTGCTATTTATCATTTTCATTTGTTCCTGAAGATACAAGAACATTATTTAATTTTTCTTGTAGGCCTAGTGGAAATGAATTCACATAGCTTACTTTATCTGGAAGTTCAGTTTTGTTTTGTTTTGCTTTTGCTTTTTTTTTTTTGCTTTCCTTTTTTGGAGGCCATTTTTCCTGGATTTAGATTCCTGAAGTGACACTTTGTGTGGGCATGTGTGTTTTGGTTTTAAGGTGATGAACACTTTACATGATCTTCTGCCTTCCATAATTTCTGAATGAGGAATCTGTAGTAGCTTGAATTTTGCTTCCTCTTTATATAATGTGTCACTTTTCTCCAATTGCTTTCAAAATTTTGCGGGGTATCTTTTATTTTCAGCAATTTGACTACTTTATGTCTAGGCTTGGTTTCTTCAAGTTCATTCTGTTAAGGGTTCTACCAAGATTCTCATATATATATATATGATATATAATTTGCTGGATCATCAGCTGTTTTACTCAAGATTAGCACTGTTGATGGCATTGTTCTTATAGCTGGTTGCTGCTGTTGCTGCAAACATCGATTTTTCCTATTCAATGATTTCAAATATGTATTTATGGTTTCAAATGTGTATTTTTCAATTGCAGTGCTACCAGTTACATATGCAATCATACACACATACATATACAACACATATCTATATATATGACATTAAACCAAATCCTATCAAATACTTAATAGTGAAAATTTTGCTCAGAAGCAGGACAGGGGTGTCCACAATTACCGCTTTTATTTAATATTTTCCTGGAAATACTAGCCAATATTATTAGACTTGAAAATGAAATATGATATTTAAAAATTTAGAAAGAGTATTCAAAATTTTAGTTTCTTATGATGCAATTAGACAACACAAAACAAAAATGAATTAGGAAAACTATTACATGTAACAGTAGAATTCTGTACACAAAACAAACAAAATATAATGGATGAATAGAACCATTTTAGATCACAGCACCCACAAGAATACATGGGAATAAGCCTTAATGTACATGTGAAGTATTATTTCTAATACAGAACATACAAGAGAAAACTTGAATAAATTAAAAACATATCATATGTATGCATACTAAATTCAATGGTATGAAGACGTTGATTTCCCACATATTACTTTGTAAATTCAGTTTGTTCCCAAGAAAAATAATTACAGGGTTTTCCCTGACAAAAATGTGCAATGGGGAAAGGGTTCCCTATTTAATAAATGGTGCTGGGAAAACTGGCTAGTGATATGCAGAAAACTGAACTGGACTCCTTCCTTATACCTTATATAAAAATCAACTCAAGGTGGATTAAAGACTTAAACGTAAGACCTAAAACCATAAAAACCCTAGAAGAAAACCTAGGCAATACCATTCAGGACATAGGCATGGGCAAAGACTTCATGACTAAAACAACAAAAGCAATGGCAACAAAAGGCAAAATTGACAAATGGGATCTAATTAAACTAAAGAGCTTCTGCAAAGCAAAAGAAACTGCCATCAGAGTGAATAGGCAACCCACAGAATGGGAGAAAATTTTTGCAATCTATCCATCTGACAAAGGGCTAATATCTAGAATCTACAAGGAATTTAAACACATTTACAAGAAAAAAATCAAACAACCCCATCAAAAAGTAGGCAAAGAATATGAACAGACACTTCTCAAAAGAAGACATTCATGCAACCAACAAATATATGAAAAAAGGCTCATCATCACTGGTCATTAGAGAAATGCAAATCAAAACCACAATGAGATACCATCTCACACCAATTAGAATGGCGATGATTAAAAGTCAGGAAACAACAGATGCTGGAGAGGATGTGGAGAAATAGGAATGCTTTTACACTGTTGGTGGGAGTGTAAATTAGTTCAACCATTGTGGAAGACAGTCTGGCGATTCCTCAAGAATCTAGAACCAGAAATAGCATTTGACCCAGCAATCCCATTACTGGATATATATCCAAAGGATTATAAATCATTCTACTATAAAGACACATGCACATGTATGTTTATTGTAGCACTATTCACAATAGCAAAGACTTGGAACCAACCCAAATGTCCATCAGTGATAGACTGGATAAAGAAAATGTGGCACATATACACCGTGGAATACTATGCAGCCATAAAAAAGAATGAGTTCATGTCCTTTGTAGGGACATGGATGAAGCTGGAAACCATCATTCTCAGCAAACTAACACAGGAACGGAAAACCAAACACTGCATGTTCTCACTCATAAGTGGGGAATTGAGCAGTGAGAACACATGGACACAGGGAAGGGAACATCACATAGTAGGGTCTCTCGGTGGATGGGGGGCAAGGAGAGGGAAAGCATTAGGACAAATACCTAATGCATGCCGGGCTTAAAACCTAGATGATGGGTTGATGGGTGCAGCAAACCACCATGGCACATGATTACCTATGTAACAAACCTGCACTTTCTGCACATACATCCCAGAGCTTAAAATTTAATAAACAATAAAACAGAAAAATAATTACAGGGTTTTTAAAATTAGATGAGCAAATATGTAGCAAAGATAAACACAGTATGAAAATTATTTAAACAAGAAGTACTGGTTAATTACAGGCAGTTTGGAAGGTTTGATGCCCTGAATGATTCTTACTGAAATAAATAAAACGTTGAATATATCATGTTTTTTTTTTTAATTTTAAATGTCACTGAGATGGTAAGCATGAGAATAAGGAATCTAAAGACTCCAAAAGAGAATGTTAAACTAGAAACTCTGAGAGATAAGTGACGATAGATTTTGTTCTAAATTTTCTGCTATACTTTGGAGAGCTTAAACTTTGTTCTTTAAAAAACAGGTTTATTGGGGTATAGTTCACAACAGCAATTTAAAGTATAAGCTTCAATGATTTTTTAATATATTCATAGTTGTGCAGTCATCAACACAATTCTTTTAATCGTTTAATAAATTTAGAACATTTTCATCACTCCCCCCAAAAACCCCATACCCACTAGCAGTTCATTTCCATCCCCACTCCTTCATCCCTAGGAAATCACTAATCTTTTTCTATCTCTTTATAACTCCATTAAAAAATGAGTGAAGGATCTGAATACACATTTCTCCAAAGAACACATAAAAATGGCCAACACGTATGTAAAAAGGTGCTCAACATCATTTATCATCAAGGAAATGCCAATCAAAACCACTATGAGAAATCATCTTACACCTATTAGGATGGCTGTTATCAAAAAGAAATCATCTCACACCTATTAGGATGGCTGTTATCAAAAAGAGATAACAAATGTTGGCAGGTATATAGAGAAAATGGAATCTTTGTAAACTATTGGTGAGAATGTAGATTGGTACAGTCATTATGGAAAACTAATAGGGTATGGAGGTTCCTAAATAAATTAAAAATAGAACTAAGATAGAAACCCAGCAGTTTCTCTTATAGGTATATACCCAAAGGAAATGAAATCACCACCCTATAAAGTTATCTGCACTCCCATGTTCATGACAATATTCACAATAGCCAAGATATGGAAACAGCCTAAGTGTCTGTTGACTGATGCATGGGTAAAGAAACCAAGGTATTTAAATACAATGTAATTTTATGCAGCCTTAAAAAGGAAAGATATCCTGTCATTTGCCACAACATAGCTGAACCTGGAGGACATTATGCTAAGTGAAATAAGCTAGACACAGAAGGAAAAGTATTGCATTGTCTCACATGTGAAATTTTTTTTAAAAAGTCAAATATACTGAGAGAATAAAACAGTGGTTACCAGGGGCAGGAGAGCCTGGGGGAGAAAACAGGGAGATGTAGGTCAGAGGATACAAAGTAGCAGATATATAGAAGAAAAAGTTGAAATCTAATCCACAGCATAAGGACTAAAGTTAATAAAATTGTATTTGAGATTTCTGCTAAGAATTTTAGCTGTTTTTGCCACCAAAAAAATGGTTAAATATGGGAGATGATGGATATGTTAACTTGCCTCACTATAGTAACATGTTTACCATCTATGTACATTCCATAACGTCATGTTGTATACCTTAAATATATACGATAAAATTTACTTTTAAAAATGAAGTGTTTCGGCTGTAGGTAAGGTTAAAAAAAGTGTATGCTTTAAAAGTTTGGAAGTTCCTTTAGTTTATATATGAATGTTTTTTCATCTTTTGCTAATCTCTGAATGCCTCCATTACACCCACATTATTGAAAGATGTTTTATCTGCATATATATAATTCCGCATTGGGAACTATTTTCCCCCAGCACTATGATGATATTATACAATGTTTGCCAGGCTACCATTTTATTGTTGGAAGTGTTCAGTCACACAATTTTCATTCTTTTGTGGTGATTCATCCTTTCTGTGACTTCTATTACAATTTTATCCGTACCTTTGATGTTTTATGATTTCATTGAAGTGGTTTAGGTTGGACATCTCTTTCCTTATCCTGCTTTTGTTGTAGGAAAAACTGGTTCTTATAACACGACCATGAAATGTTAGGCTCGCAGACACTTTGAAGGGTGAGAAGAGCAGGGTTTATTGGGTGAAAAGGAAAAAAAGGGAAACAAGGACTCTCAGCAAAGCGAGAGTCCTGCTAACAGGCTTCCTGTCTCACAGATTGGACCCCAGGTTACCACTCCCAAACAGAAGAGGTCAGGCTCCTCCCCACTGCAAATGGTGCGAACTTCCCGAGGCTCCACCCCAGTGTGCATTCCTCCCAGTGGGCAGGCCGGTTGGAGATTCTCCGGGCACCCCTTTATACTTGGCTTGTCTCATTTTGGAATACATTGGGTTTTTTTGATTTATAGATTTATATTTTTTATTTGTTATGAAAAGTTACCGCTATTTTCTCTTTAAATATCGCCCCTGTTCCATTCTATTCTCAAATGTATTTTAGACATATTAAGATTTTCACTTTTTTTTTTCTTTTTTTGAGACAGGGTCTGGCTCTGTCACCCAGGCTGGAGTGCAGTGGTGTGATCCCACCACAGAGGTGTAACCTCTGCCTCTTGGACTCAAGTGATACTCCCTCCTGAGTAGCTGGGACTACAGGTGTGTGCCACCACACCCAGCTAATTTTTATACTTTTTGTAGACACAGGTTTTCGAATGTTGCCTGGGCTGGTCTCAAATTCTTGGGCTCAAATGATCCTTCAACCTCAGCCTCCCAAAGTGCTGGGATTACAGGCATGACCACCGTTCCTGGCTTTCATATATTTCAATATAATGTTTGTTTCTGTCTCCTTGCTTTTCTGTACTGCATTCTGGGTAATTTTTTTCAGATATAACTTCTTTCACTAATTTTCTCTTCAGCTATGTATATTCTGCTTTTTGTGAAATTAATTTTCTTAATTTCTATAATTAGTTTTTGTTTCTAAAGTTAATTTTGCAGATTATAATTTTACATATTCATAATTTGCAAATCTAATAATCTTTTGGTCTTTGGGATAATATCCTTTATTTCTTTAATCATTACATACACATGTCTTCTATATTCTGGGTCCTACTATTCTAATGTCTGCATTTATTGGAAGTATAAAGCTGTTTACTGTTTCTGCTGATTTTTATCATAGTGTCTAACTTCCTTTTAGTGTAATGATATTGGGTTGAAAGGTCATTGCTCAATATTAATACATAGAGTAGGATTAGATTGAGGATTTTGAAAGTTTTTCAGAGAGAGTCTTCTCTTGCTTCTCTGACTTACTTAGAGATGAAACGACAAAATATCTGCAACTTATTCTCAAATAGCTCAGAAGTGAAATAATAGCATATAAAGAGAAAGAATATGATAAGGCAATTGTGGAAATAAAGAACTAGAGAACTTGGGTAAATGATATAGAAGAGATTTTTTAAGTAAATTTTCCTTAATTCTATATCAAAATAAAACTGTTCAGAAAAAAAACGAAGGAGCCTAAAAATATGCCAGACTAGAATTAGCAGTCTTTTGAGGATACCATTTCTGAAATAAAGGAGGATATGACTCTTGGAGTCCAAGTGGTAAAGAGAAACAAGGAAGCAAGCATTGAAAATAGAGGGTCCTCCAGAAACAAAAGAAAATTACAAAATCAGAACACATATCAACACCTCCACACACACATAAATGAAGTACAATTAATAAAACTGTACTTTGCCAAAATGAGAAGTTGCTCTAAACCTAAGAAATATAGTAAGCTAACCTAACTGCTTATGTGTTAATTCTGTTCCATAAAGAATACACATTTCAAATTAACAACCATTGGAATCCATCCTCATATAAAGATGGTATAAAAGAAAAAAGTAAATAGAAAATAAAGATATTTTAGCTGCTAAAAATTCTCATCAAAAACAACAACAGGTAGTTTAGATTTCACCTTCTAGATGTAGACCTGGAAAGAGTATAGATCCCACTTTAGGGAAGTGGCGTCTGCAATTTTTCTGAGGCTTGAGTAGGCTGTTTTCCCCTCAGAGTGTAAACAAAGCCACCAAGAAGTTCAAACTGGGTGGAGCCCTCCTTAACTCAGCAAAACATCTGTAGCCAGACTGCCTCTCCAGATTGCTTCTCTCTGGGCAGGGCATCTCTGAAAAAAATAAGACAGCAGCCCCAGTCAGGGGCTTACAGATAAAACCCTCATCTCCCTGGGAGAGAGCACCTGGGGGAAGGGGTGGCTGTGGGTGCAGCTTCAGCAGACATAAACATCCCTGCCTGCTGACTCTGAAGAAAGCAGTGGATCTCCCAGCACAGCGTTCGAGCTCTGCTAAGGGTCAGATTGCCTCCTCAAGTGGGTCCCTGACCCCCATGCCTCCTGACTTGGAGACACCTCCCAGCAGGGGCCAACAGACACCTCATACAGGAGAGCTCTGGCAGGCATCTGGTGGGTGCCCCTCTGGGACAAGCTTCCAGAGGAAGGACCAGGCAGCAATCTTCGCTGTTCTGCAGCCACCACTGGTGATACCCAGGCAAACAGGGTCTGGAGTGGACCTCCAGCAAACTCCAGCAGACCTGGAGAAAAAGGCCCTGACTCTTAGAAGGAAAACTGACAAACAGAAAGGAAGAGCATCAACATCAACAAAAAAGACACCCACTGAGAAACCCCATCTGAATGTCACCAACATCAAAGACCAAAGGTAGATAAATCCATGAAGATGGGGAGAAACCAGGACAAAAAGACTGAAAATTCCAAAAACCAGGATGGCTCTTCTTCTCCTTCTCCACATGATCACAACACCTCGCTAGCAAGGGAACAAAACTTGATGGAGAATGAGTTTGACAAATTGACAGAAGTAGGCTTCAGGAGGTGAGTAATAACAAGCTCCTCTGAGCTAAAGGAGGATGTTCCAACCCAATGCAAGGAAGATAAGAACCTTGAGAAAAGGTTAGAAGAATTGCTTACTAGAATAACCAGTTTAGAGAAGAATATAAATGACCTGATGGAGCTGAAAAACACGACACGAGAACTTCGTGAAGCATACACAAGTATCAATAGCTGAACTGATCAAGTGTAAGACAGGATAACAGAGATTGAAGATCAGCTTAATGAAATAAAGCGTGAAGACAAGATTAGAGAAAAAAGAATGAAAAGGAATGAACAAAGCCTCCAAGAAATATGGGACTATGTGAAAGGACCAAACCTATGTTTGATTGGTGTACCTAAAAGTGAAGGAGAGTATGGAACCAAGCTGGAAAACACTCTTCAGGATATTATCCAGGAGAACTTCCCCAATCTAGCAAGGAAGGCCAACATTCAAATTCAGGAAATACAGCGAACACCACAAAGATACTCCTCGAGAAGAGCATCCCCACGACACAATTGTCAGATTTACCAAGGTTAAAATGAAGGAAAAAACATTAAGGGCAGCCAGGGAGAAAGGTCAGGTTACCCACAAAGGGAAGCCCATTAGACTGACAGCAGATCTCGCTGCAGAAATCCTACAAGCCAGAAGAGAGTGGGGACCAATATGCAATATTCTTAAAGAAAAGAATTTTCAACCCAGAATTTCATATCCAGCCAAACTAAGCTTCATAAGCAAAGGAGAAATAAAATCACTTACAGACAAGCAAATGCTGAAAGATGCTGTCCCCACCAGGCCTGCCTTACAAGTGCTCCTGAAGGAAGCACTAAACATGGAAAGGAACAATCAGTACCAGCCACTGCAAAAACATACCAAATTGTAAGGATCATCCACCCTCTGAAGAAACTGCATCAACTAACAGGCAAAATAAACAGCCAGCGTCATAAAGACAGGATCAAATTCACACATAACAATATTAACCTTACATATAAACGGGCTAAATGCCCCAATTAAAAGACACAGACTGGCAAATTGGATAAAGAATAAAGACCTATCAGTGTGCTGTATTCAGGAAACCCATCTCAGGTGCTAAGATATACATAGGTTCAAAATAAAGGGATGGAGGAATATTTACCAAGCAAATGGAAAGTGGAAAAAAAGAAAAAGCAAGAGTTGCAATCCTAGTCTTTGATAAAACAGACTTTAAACCAACAAAGATCAAAAGAGACAAAGAAGGGCATTACATAATGGTAAAGGAATCAATGCAACAAGAAGAGCTAACAATCCCAAATATATATGCAACCAATACAGGAGCACCCAGATTCATAAAGCAAGTTCTTAGAGACCTACAATAAGACTTAGGCCCCACACAATAATAGTGGGAGGCTTCAACACTCTACTGTCTATGTTAGACAGATCCATGAGACAGAAAATTAACAAGGATATTCAGGACTTGAACTCAGCTCTGGACCATGCAGACTTAATAGACATCTACAGAACTCTCCACCCCAAATCAACAGAATATACATTCTTCTCAGCACCACACTGCACTTATTCTAAAATTGACCACATAATTGGAAGTAAAACACTCCTCAGCAAATGCAAAAGAACAGATATCATAACAAACAGTCTCTCAGACCACAGTGCAATCAAATTAGAACTCAGGATTAAGAAACTCAATCAAAACCGCACAACTACTTGGAAACTTAACAACGTGCTCCTGACTACCAGTCAGTAAATAATGAAATTAAGGCAGAAATAAATAAGTTATTTGAAACCAATGAGAACAAAGACACAACATAGCAGAATCTCTGGGACACAGCTAAAGTAGTGTTTAGAGGGAAATTTATAGCACTAAATGCCCACAGGAGAAAGTGGGAAAGATCTAAAATTGACACCCTAACATCACAGTAAAAAGAACTAGAGAAGCAAGAGGAAACATATTCAAAAGCTAGCAGAAGACAAGAAATAACTAAGATCAGAGCAGAACTGAAGGAGACAGAAACATGAAAAACCCATCAAAAAAATCAATGAATCTAGGAGCTGGTTTTTGAAAACATCAACAAAATAGACCGCTAGTCAGACTAATAAAGAAGAATAGAGACAAGAATCAAATAGACACAATAAAAAATGATAAATTGTATATCACCACTGATCTCACAAAAATACAAACTACCAGCAGAGAATACTATAAACACTTCTATGCAAATAAAATAGAAAACCTAGAAGAAATGGATAAATTCCTAACCACATATACCCTCCCAAGACTAAACCAGGGAGAAGTCCAATCCCTGAACAGACCAATTACAAGTTCTAAAATTGAGGCAGTAATTATTAGCCTACCAACCAAAAACAACCCAGCACCAGACGGATTCACAGCCGAATTCTCCCAGGGTACAAAGAGGAGATGGTACCATTCCTTCTGAAACTATTTCAAACAATAGAAAAAGAGGGAATCCTCCCTAACTCATTTTATGAGGCCAGCGTCATCCTGATACCAAAACCTGGCAGAGACACAACAAAAAAAGAAAATTTCAGGCCAATATCCCTGATGAACATCAATGCAAAAATCCTCAATAAAATACTGGTAAACCGAATCCAGCAGCACATCACAAAGCTTATCCACCATGATCAAGTTGGCTTCATCCCTGGGAAGCAAGGCTGGTTCAACATATGCAAATCAATAAATGTAAACCATCACATAAACAGAATCAATGAGAACAACCACATGATTTTCTCAATAGATGCAGAAAAGGCCTTCGATGCAGAAGAGGACTTTGATAAAATTCAACACCCCTTCATGCTAAAAACTCTCAATAAACTAGGAATTGATGGAACGTAACTTACAATAATAAGAGCTATTTATAACAAACCCACAGCCAATATACTCAATGGGCAAAAGCTGTAAGCATTCCCTTTGAAAACTGGCACAAGACAAGGATGGCATCTCTCACCACTGCTATTCAACATAGTGTTGGAAGTTCTGGCCAGGGCAATCAGGCAAGAGAAAGAAATAAAGGGTATTCAAATAGGAAGAGAGGAAGTCATATTGTCTCTGTTAGCAGATGACATGATTTTATATTTAGAAAACCCCATCGTCTCAGCCCAAAATCTCCTTAAGCTGATAAGCAACTTAAGCAAAGTCTCAGAATACAAAATCAATGTGCTAAAGTCACAAGCATTCCTATACACCAATAATAGAGAGCCAAGTCATGAGTGAACTCTCATTCACAACTGCTACAAAGAGAATAAAATACCTAGGAATACAACTTACAAGGGATGTGTAAGACCTCTTCAAGCAGAACTACAAACCACTGCTCAAGGAAATAGGAGAGAACACAAACAAATGGAAAAGCATTCCATGCTGACGGATAAGAAGAATCAATATCGTGTGAAAATGGCCATACTGCCCAAAGTAATTTATAGATTCAATGCTATCCCCATCAAGCTACCATTGACTTTCTTCACAGAATTAGAAAAAACTACTTTAAGTTTCATATGGAAGCAAAAAAGAGCCTGTATAGCCAAGACAATCCTAAGCGAAAAGAACAAAGCTGGAGGCATCACACTACTTGACTTCAAACTATACTACAAGGCTACAGTAACCCAAACAGCATGGTAGTGGTACCAAAACTGATATATAGACCAATGGAACAGAACCAAGGCCTCAGAAATAGCACGACACATCTACAACCACCTGCTCTTTGACAAACGTGACAAAAACAAGCAATGGGGAAAAAATTGTTTTGGGAAAACTGGCTAGCCATATCCAGCTAACTGAAACTGGACCCCTTCCTTAGACATTGTACAAAAATTAACTCAAGATGGATTAAAGACTTAAATGTAAGACCTAAAACCATAAAAACCCTAGAAGAAAATCTAGGCAGTACCATTCAGGATGTAGGCATGGGCAAAACTTCACGACTAAGACACCAAAAGCAATGGCAACAAAAGGCAAAATTGACAAATGGGATCTAATTAAATAAAAGGGCTTCTGCACATCAAAAGAAACTACCATCAGAGTGGACAGGCAACCTACAGAATGGGAGAAAATTTTTGCAATCTATCCATCTGACAAAGGGCTAATATCTAGAATCTACAAGGAACTTAACAAGTTTACAAGTAAAAAACAACCCCATCAAAAAGTGGGCAAAGGGTATCTACAGGTACTTCTCAAAAGAAGACATTTATGCAGCCAACAAACATATGAAAAACAGCTCATCATCACTGGTCATTAGAGAAATGCAAATCAAAACCACAGTGAGATACCATCTCAGGCCAGTTAGAATGGCAATCATTAAAAAGTCAGGAAACAACAGATGCTGGAGAGGATGTGGAGAAATAGGAATGCTTTTACACTGTTGGTGGGAGTGTAAATTAGTTCAGCCATTGTGGAAACCCTGTGGTGATTCCTCAAGGATCTAGAACTAGAAATACCATTTAACTCAGCTATCCCATTACTGGGTGTATACCCAAAGGATTTTAAATCATTCTACTATAAAGACACATGCACATGTATGTTTATTATAGCACTGCTCACAATAGCAAATACTTGGAACCAACCCAAATGTCCATCAGTGATAGACTGGATAAAGAAACTGTGGCACATACACACCATGGAATACTATGCAGCCATAAAAAAGGATGAGTTCATGTTCTTTATAAGGACATGGATGAAGCTGGAAACCATTCTCAGTAAACTAACACAAGAACAGAAAACCAAACACCGCATGTTCTCACTCATAATTGGGAGTCGAACTGTGAGAACACATGGAAACACAGGGAGGGGAACATCACACAATGGGGCCTGTTAGGGGATGGGGGGCTAGCAGAGGGATAGCATTAGGAGAAATACCTAAGGTAGATCACAGGTTAATGGGTGCAGCAAACCACCATGGCACGTGTATACTTATGTAACAAACCTGCACGCTTTGTGCATTTATCCCAGAACTTAAAATATAATAATAATAATAATAATAATAATAATGATAATAGAATAGTGCTCTCACTTCAGTAACAACAAAAAATGCTGGACAAACTTTAAATTAACAACTTTTATTAAACTTATCAGAGAACTCAGGTTGTAGGGCAAACAACTATAGTTTACTTTCGAACAACATGAGTGTGAGGGGCACCAACTCCCCACCATGCAGTAAAAAATCTATGTATAAGTTTTGACTCTCCAAAAACTTAACAACTAATAGCCTACTGTTGACCAGAAGCTTTACAAATAACATAATCGATTAACAACTATTTTGTGTATTATATGTATTATATACTGTACCCTTAGAGAAAAGAAAATGTTATTAAGAAAATCATAAGGAAGAGAAAATACATTTAGAATACTGTACTGTATTTATCAATATCATAAGTTTGTGTTATCTCTTTACAAGATGAATCGTGTCTGAAATGGTGGACAACTGCAGCTGCAGACCTTGATTTATAATATACACCATGCAATTCAGTTTTTTCTCATAATGTCATGACTTTTTTCTGCTTGTTAGGAACATTTCCAGCATCAGTAGTGGCACTTTGTATGGGTTCCATGACGCAATTTAAGGTTTTTGATATTGCACTAAACATGATGAAAAATATGTAAGAACCGGAGGGATCACCTTTTACTGTGATATGCAATATGCTGGAGAGATGAACTGCTCATACTGAGATGACTAGGGTCACATGGCATTTTAAGCAGATATTTGCAACACTTGAGCTTGCTGCAATAGCAATAGGAGGTGGCTTTGAAATTATTTCAGAGTTGTAGTGTGGATTATAGTTAATATTATACCGTTATGGTTTAATACTGCATCTTTACAGTTTTTTGCATTTCTCTTGACTGCAAATGGCACCTGTACATTCTGTAAATATTTGTGTATATAAGTTTTAATAAATTTTAACTTCTATGATAGATTTGTATATATTTTATGGTAGTAAATGATAATATAGACTAGTATCTATATATTTTCTACATATTCATGGCATAGCTTTTCCTTAGTTTTTTCTGATATTTTAGGCTAAAGCTGTTTGTCTGCCTGTTTTTTCAGATTGTCTTAAATCTCCAAAAACTTCCAATATACTTATAGAAAAAAGTTTGTGCATAAGTTGGCCCATGCAGTCTAAACCCATGTTACTGAAAGGTCAACTGTAATTTGAAATCTGGGGAGAGAAAGGTGCCAATTTGGGAGAAACAAGACCTGAATCTTCGCTTGCTTAGGGCGGACACCCTTGGAGGCCACTAAAGCCAATAGAAAGATTTTGCAAAAATTTTTAAATGAATTTCTGAAAGTTGAATATGGACTAATATGAAGGTATAAAGCCCCCTGGGGCTACAGACATAAGGTCTTTGTACCGTCTTTCAGCATTTTCCTCCATGACCTTACCAACCAACCACAGGGAAAATCAGAGTCAATCCAGGGAAAGCTTCCTTCAGGGTTCTTGCTGGAGAAAGGAAACAGCAGCCAAAGCCAAATGTCCTCTATTTATTTTATTGACAAAAGCCTGTAGAGGAAGAAGAGTAACAAAACTGTCAATTTAGGGCACTGGATGAAATTCACTGAGCTGGGGAAAGGGAACAGGAAAAAAAACCCAGACAACCCTACCTTTAGAGGAATGGAAGGAATATATGCCAGGCCTGCACAACTACTGGAAGAGGGAGAGAAACACTTTTGAAGTTTATCCTGCAAAGAAACTGTGTTCACAGTACAAATAAGAGAACACTGTATCTACTGTCCACACACCAGTTTGCCAAAATTTAAACTATATGACATGTAACAAGGAAAAATAACAATAGATACAACTGGACAAACTGTAGGAGACAGATTCTCTCTGGGGAACAAAGACTGAGAAAAACCCTCTGGCAAATAGCCCATGCCCTAAATACCAGACATCTCTAGAGAAATTTGAAGGTTTGGTGCACTGAAGGTAACCATAGCAACAATAAACTCCAAACCCACTGTAACTACTGGCTAGATTAATGCTAACACCCACACTAAAGGCCTAGAAAAAAATATGTTCATCTCCAAGCATAAAAATATTTATCTCCATATCTCTTGTCCTGTACATGTTCAACATTCCACATAAATTTATGAGGCATATGACAAGGCAAACACACACAGTCTCAAGAGGCAAAGCAAGCATGCTGATACATTTTAAATTTTAAGTTTTAAAATGTAAATTTTAAACCCTGGGACAATCACTAAAAGTTTTTCAAGTATAAATGTTAAGTAAATAGTGGAGATGAAATAGAACCATTAAAATGCTCAATTAAACCCATAGAAGGCAGAAAAGGAGGGAAAAAAGAAATAAAGAACAAATAGAAAATAACAAATATGGTAGATTTTAAATACAAGTATATCAATATTCATTTTAATGCTTAAACATGCCAATTAAAAGACAGTGATTCTAACATTCAATTTTGAAAAAAGCAAGACTCAACTACATGTTGTCTACAGGAAACAAACTTTAAATACAAAACTATAGATAAGTTGACAGTAAAAAAAAAAAAGATATAGCTTACAAATGCCAACCAAAAGAAAGCTAGTGTAGCTGTACTAATTTCAACAATGTAGATATAAAGGAATATTATTAGAGACAAAGAGTGGCATAACCCAATAATAAAATAATAATAAAGGCATTTCTCAAGAAGACATAATAATGCTAACTGTGTATGTACCTAAGACAGCTCTTCAAAATACATGAGACAAAAATTTATAGATCTGAAAGGAGAAATAGACAAATCCACAGCTATATTTGGAAACTTCAAAACTAATCTCTCTGTAATTGATAGAACAAGTGGGCATGATATTGGTAGCCTGAACCCTATCAACTGATTGACCTAACTGACATATATAGAACAGTCAACACAAGAGTAGCAGAATGCACACCATTTTTTTAAAAGTGGAAATGGGACACTAATCCAAATGGATTAGAAAAGATCTAAAATCAGTAAGCAAGGCTTACTTAAAACAAGAAGATGAAATCAAACCCAAAGCAAGAATAAAGAAAGAAATAAGGATTGTAGCAACTGTCAATAAAATTAAAGACAAAAAGAAAACAGATAATCAATGAAACCAAAAGAGAGTTCTTTGAAAAGGTTAAAATCAATAAACATCTAGCCAAACTGGCCAAAAAAAAAAAAAAAAAAGGTGAAGTATTGAAAAACTGTCATTTAACACTCCCAAAATAACAAGCATTTTCAGATATGAAAAGTAATCTCAAATCAAAAATTTAAAAATTATGACAGAAATGGGCAACAAAACCTTAGGAAATATGAAATAAAAATCAACTGACTTCAAGAAAGTAAGTCAATAAAAAGACAAAATCATCTCAAAAATAAAGATAAAATTACAAAGAACAAATGTTCTCATCTAACAACCCAATAAGGGTGACTGAGAAAAGGCATGAGAACAACCAATAAAACAAACATGAAATGAAGGAGTTTTTTTAAAAAAAAGCAGAGCAGAAAGTAATAAATATAGAAGATCAGCAAAGAAAATATAACAAAAGTTTAATTGAAGTATCTAGAAAGAAGAACAAAGCACTAAACAGAAGTAATATTTAAAATTATAATTGAGATAGCTTTTTGTAAATAAAAACTCTGAATCTGTATATTTGAAAGACCTACTTTGTGTCTGGGAAAATTGGTAACTCATTTTTTAGGAAATTTCTACTTTTAAGACAAAGGGGAAAAAAATCTGCTAGGCCAATATGCAAAAACTAGATCATTTATAAAGGAAAAAATATGGGTGGCATCAGAATTCTCACCCACAATGAAGCATCACAACATATATTAAATATAACAACGAACAAAACAAAGACACTGTAAAATAATATGGCATGGCTGAGCCCACGTCATCAACTATAACCATAAGTTTAGATAGGCTTAATTCACCTACTAAAATAAAAATATGTTTACTTTTTCTCATCAAAGAACACAATCAACAATATGAAAAGACAACTCACTGAGTGGGGAAAAATATTTCTAAATTATATATCTCATAAAGGGTGAATATCCAGAAAATGTAAAGAATTCCTACAACTCAACAACAACAACTACAAATAACTGAATTTTTAAAGTAGGCAGCCAATTTGAATGGACATTTCTTCAAAGAAGATATGCCAGTTAGCCAATTAGCACATGAAACGATGCTCAACATCACCAATCATTAGGAAAATGTGAATTAAAACCGTAATGAAAATACCACCTCACATCCATTAGGATGATTACTGTCAAAAACAAAACAAAACAAAAACTAGAAAATAACAAATGTTAGCAAGAATGTGGAGCAACTGGAACATTTGTGCACTGTTGGTGCAAATTTAAATGATACAGCTTCTGTGGAAAACAGTATGGTGGTTTCTCAAAAAAATTAAAAGTAGACTTACTATTTGATCTACCAGTTTCACTTCTGGGCATATGCCCAAAAGAAAGGAAAGCAGTGACTTGAGATATGTGTATACTCATATTCATTGACACGTTATTCATAAGAGCCAAAAGAAGCAAGCAACTGAATTGTCCTTCAACAGATGACTGGATAAACAAAATGTGGTATATACATCAAATGGAATATGATTCAGCTTTGAAAAATAGGGAAATTCTGAACATGCTACAACATGGATGAACCTTGAGAATATTATGCTAAGTGGAGTAAGCCAGGCACAAGAAGACAAATACTGTATGATTCCATTTATATAAGGTACCTATACTATCAAATTCACAGAGGCAAAAAGGAGAATGGTGGTTGCCAGAGGTTAAGGAAAAAGGGGATATAAAGAGTTATTGTTAATGGGTTCAGAGTTTCAGTTAAGGAAGACAAAAAGTTCTGGAGATTAATGGTGGTGATTCTTGCACAACAATGTGAATCTACTTACTGCCACTGAACTGTACACTGAAAAATAGTTGATTTTAAATTTTATCTTAGTTGTATTTTACTACAATTTAAAAAACTACATTTTCTAGTCTCCCTTACAGGTAAGTTGGCCATGTTTCCGTGTTCCAGTGAGTGAAAGATGATGGCACATTACATCTGTTGAAATACATATGGAATATTTTTTAATTGGCTATATGTTAAATAACAAGGAAAATCTTAATAAATTTTATAAAGTAGGCATGATAAAGCATCTTTTGATGACACTGAAGTACAATAAAATTAATTTAAAAAATAAATGATCTTCTACTGGTTTATATAAAAACTCTTTTTAAAACAACATAAAATAAAAGGGGAAACAAGTTTGCAGAGTGTGAGATGGGGAGAATCTGCCTCTGAATGCACATCTCCACTGGGGAATCTGAAAATCCAGATCACAGGAGAAGGCTTTAACCTTACCTGGAGCTGGAATGGATTTAGGGAATGGTGCAAAATATGAAAGTAGAAGTAGCATTGAGAAGAGCCATATAGGCATTCTCAGTCTCCAGCTCAAGCCCAGGGAAGCCATCCCTGACTATATCTTACAGGCACCCTGAGGGAAGGCAGCCAGCAGAATTAGGGAAGAGTCAGGCAGCCAGCAGAATTAGGGAAGAGTCACAGGGTGAAAGAAGCTTCCAGCAGAATCTTGTTTTAATTTATAGTGGGAATAAACCCCCTTTAAAAGAATCTGTGGCACAAATGGGAACTGTGGCAGATACGAGCACAGGTGTGGGCACTTGGCATTACAGGAAGATGGGGAGGGGCATGGCCTGAAAGCTGTGCTTGCTTTCTCAGTGGGAAAGCTTATGACCTGGGGCAGGTGCTCACCAAAGGATACCTCCCCACATCAACTGAGTAAATTAAAAACTGGAGAAAAAGAAAATAAATAAATAAATTGTACACCATGAGAGAACGAGATAAGCTTCAAGAGATCCCTGCCATTCCAATTCCATAGGAGACAGTGAACTCACCCACACACCAAGAACATAACTACAATAACCAACATCAGGAAAAGCCAGTGCACAGAGACTTTATAACTAAGGAACTGATACAAAGTCTTCACCTCTAAAGCATAAAAAATCAAAATAGGCAAAAATAAACATAAAAGTATGATCCATAAGAGGGAAAAAAAGTAATTCTAAGCAAAAAATACCGTACATAAACAGTCCAGTCAAAAATTCAAAAACAATTTGAAGACATAATCTACCCAAATGAGAAGGAACCAAGAAGTAATTCTGATAATATGACAAAACAGGGTTCTCTAATACCCCTAAATGATCACACTAGCTCTCCAGCAATGGATCCAACCCAAGAAGAAATCTCTGAACTGCCAGATAAAGAATTCAGATTGATTATTGAGCTACTCAAGGAAATACCAGAGAAAGGTGAAAACGAACTTAAAGAAATTAAAAAATATATGTAGGATATGGATGAAAAATTTTCCAGATAAATAGATATCATAAAGAAAAAACAATCACAACTTCTGGAAATGAAAGACACACTTAGGGAAATACAAAATACAGTAGAAAGTTTCAACAACAGACTAGAACAAGTAGAAGAAAGAACTTCAGAGCTTGAAGACAAGGCTTTCGAATTAACCCAATCAGACAAAAACAAAGAAAAAAGAATTTTAAAAGATGAACCAAGTCTCCAAGAAATATAGGATCATGTGAAATGGCCAAACCTAAGAATAATTGGTGTTCCTGAGGAAGAATAGAAATAAAAAGTTTGGAAAATTTATTTGAAGGAATAATTGAGGAAAACTTTCCCGGCCTTACTAGAGATCTAGACATCCAAATACAAGAAGCTCAAAGAACTCCTGGGAAATTCATCACAAAAAAGATCATCACCAAGGCACATAGTCATCAGGTGGTCCAAAGTCAAGATGAAGGAAAGAATCTTGAGAGCTGTGAGACAAAAGTATCAGGTAACCCATAAAGGAAAAC
Organism: Homo sapiens; assembly: GCF_000001405.40. Taxonomy (NCBI): domain Eukaryota; kingdom Metazoa; phylum Chordata; class Mammalia; order Primates; family Hominidae; genus Homo; species Homo sapiens. Next base: position 121,180,217 of record NC_000003.12, read on the forward strand.
CTGTCAGATTAGCAGCAGATTTGTCAGCAGAAACTTTACAAGCCAGAAGGAACTGGGGTCCCATCTTTAGCCTACTTAAACAAAATACTTGTTAGCCAAGAATTTGGTATCCAGCAAAACTAAGCTTCATTAATGAAGGAGAGACGTAAAGTCTTTTTCAAACAAATGCTAAGAGAATTTGCCACTACTACACCAGCAGTACTGGAAATGCTAAAAGGAGTTTTGAATCTTGAAACAAAACCTCAAAATACACCAAAATAGAAACTCCTTAAACCGTGAAGCTCATAGGGCCTATAAAACAATAATACAATGAAAAAACAAACAAACAATGTATTTAGGCAATAACTTACATAATGAATAGAACAGTACCTCACCAGCTGGGCACAGTGGCTCAGGCCTGTAATACCAGCACTTTGGGCAGGCCGAGGCAGGTGGATCACTTGAGTTCAGCGGTTCAAGACCAGCCTGACCAACATGGTGAAACCCCGTCTCTACTGAAAATGCAAAATTAGCTAGGCATGGTAGCTCATGCCTGTAATCTCAGCTACTTGGGAGGCTGAGGCAGGAGAATCACTTGAACCTAGGAGGTGCGGTTGCAGTGAGCCAAAATCGTGCCATTGCACTCCAGCCTGGACAACAAGAGTGAAACTCTGACTTGAAAAGAAAAAGAAGAGAAGACAAGAGAAGAGAAGAGAAAAGAAAAGAAAGAGAAAGAGAAAAGAAGAGAAGAGAAAAGAAGCAGAGGGTAAGGGAGGGAAGGGGAGGGGAGAAGGAAAGGAAGAAAGGAAACAGTACCTCACATCTCAGTACTAACATTGAATGTAAATGGCCTGAGATTGTGCCATTGCACTCCAGCCTGGGCAACAAGAGTGAAACTCTGTCTTGAAAAGAAAAGAAGAAAACAAAAGAAGAGAAAAGAAGAGAAGAGAGGAGAAAAGAGGGGAGGGGGAGGGGAGGGGAGAGGAGAGGAGGGAACAGTATCTCACGTCTCAGTACTAACATTGAATGTAAATGGCCTGAACCTGGGAGGTGGAGGTATCAGTTAGCTGAGATCGTGCCATTCCACTCCAGCCTGGGCAACAAGAGTGAAACTCCATCAAGAAAAGAAAAGTAAAGAGAGGAGAGGAGAGGAGAGGAGTAGTACCTCACATCTCAATACTAACATTGAATGTAAATGGCCTAAGGGCCCCACTTAAAAGATACAAAATGGCAGAATGGATAAAACCTCACCAACCGGCTGGGCGCAGTGGCTAACGCCTGTAATCCCAGCACTTTGGGAGACCAAGGTGGGCAGATCACTTGAGATCAGGAGTTCAAGACCAACCTGGCCAACATGGTGAAACCCCTTCTCTACTAAAAATGCAAAAATTAGCTGGGCATGGTCGTAGATGCCTGTAGTCCCACCTACTGGAGAGGATGAGGCAGGAGAATTGCTTGAACCCAAGAGGCAGTTGGAGGCTTCAGTGAGCTGAGATTGTGCCACTGCACTCCAGCCTGGGCGATAGAATGAGACCCTATCTCAAAGAAAACAAAAAACAAACAAAAACAAACAAACAAACAAAAAACAACCAAGTGTTCACCATCTTTAAGAGATTCACCTAACACATAAGGACTCACATAAACTTCAGGTAAAGGGGTGGAAAAACATATTCCATGCAAATGTAAACCAAAAGCAAACAGGAGTAGCTATTCTTATATCAGACAACATAGACATTAAAGCAACAACAGTTAAAAAAAAAAAAAAGAAGGAAAATACTACAATCCTAAATATATATGTACCTAACACTGGTGCTCCAAAATTTATGAAACAATTACTACTAGACCTAAGAAATGAGAGAGATGGCAACACAGTAATGGTGGGAGACTTCAATACTCCACTGACAGCACTACACAGATCATCAAGACAGAAAGACATCAAAGAAACAGTAGACTTAAACTATATGCTAGACCAAGTGGACTTAACACATATTTACAGAACATTCAACCCAAGTGCAGAATATACATTCTTCTCATCAGCACGTGGAACATTCTCCAAGATAGACCATATGATAGGCCACAAAATAAGTCTCAATAAATTTAAGAAAATCTAAATCATATAAAGTATAGTCTTAGACTATGGTGGAATAAAACTGGAAATTTATTTTAAAAGGAATCCTCAACATTAACAAATACATGGAAATTAAATAATCTGCTCTTGAATTATCTTTGGGTTAATAAGGAAATCAAGATTTAAATTTAGAAATTATTTAAACTAAATGATAATCATTACACAACTTATCAAGACCTTTGGGATAAAGCAAAGCTGTGCTAATAGAAAAAGCTTACAGCATTAAATGCCTACATCAAAAAGTCTGAAAGAGCACATCTCAAGGAACTAGAGAAACAAGAACAAACTAAATCCAAACCCAGCAGAAGAAAAGAAGTAACAAAGATCAGTGCAGAACTAAATGAAATTGAAACAAAAAATATGCAAAAGATAAATGAAACAAAAAGCTGGTTCTTTGAAAAGATACACAAAATTGATAGACCATTAGTTAGATTAACCAAGAAAACAAGAGAGAGCATCCAAACAAGCTGAATTAGAAATGAAAGGAGAGATATTACAACCGATACCTTAGAAAAACAAAAGATCATTCAAGGCTACTATTAATGACAGACCAATATCCCTGATGAACATAGATGCAAAAATCCTTAACAAAATACTAGCTAACCGAATTTAACAGCATATCAAAAAGATTACACATCATAATCAAGTGAGTTTCATACCAGTGATGCAGGGATAGCTTAACATACATGGGTGAATACATGTGATACATCACATAAACAGAATTTAAAACAAAAATTGGTGGGGAAAAAGTACTTGACAAAATCCAGCATCCCATTAATATGAAAACACTCACAAAATTGGCATAGAAAGGACATATGTCAAAGTAATAAAAGCCGTCTAAGACAAACCCACAGTCAACGTCATACTGAATAGGGAAAAGATGAAAGCATTCGCCCTGAAAACTAGAACAATACAAGGATGCCCACTTTCACCACTTCTAGTCAGCATAATACCGGAAGTCATAGACAAAGCAATCAGACAAGAGAATAAAATGAAAGGCATCCAAATTGGAAAAGAGGAACTCAAACTGTTGCTGGACACCAATGATATGATTGTATACCTAGAAAACCGTAAAGACTAATCCAGAAAGTTCCTAGATTTGATAAATGAATCAGTAAAGTTTCAGGACAAAACAAATCAGTGTACACAAATCAGTAGCACTGATATACACCAACAGTGACCAAGCTGAGAATCAGATCAAGAACACAGCCCCTTTTACAACAGCAAGCAAGCAAGACAAAGAGAGAAAGAAAAATTGAAAGAAAGGAAGAAAGAAAGAAAGAGAAAGGAAAAGAAAGGAAGGGAGGGAGGAAGGAAAGAAAGAAAAAAGAAAGAAAGAAGGAAGGGAGGGAGGGAGGAAGGAAGCAAGGAAGGGCAAGGAAACGAAAGCAAGGAAAGAGAAAGTCTCCTCAAGTAGGTCCCTGACCCCTGTGCCTCCTGACTGGGAGACAGCTTCCAGCAGGGGTTGACAGACACCTCATACAGGAGAGCTCCAGCTGGCATCTGGCAAGTGCCCACTAAGATGAAGCTTCCACAGGAAGGAAGAGACAGCTATCTTTGCTGTTCTGCAGCCTCCGCTGGTGATACCCAGGCAAACAGGGTCTGGAATGGACCTCCAGCAAACTCCAGCAGACCTGGAGAAGAGGGGCCTGGCTGTTAGAAGGAAAACTACAAGCAGAAAGGAATAGCATCGACACCAACAAAAAGGATGTACACCCAAAAACCCCATACAAAGGTCACCAACATCAAGGACCAAAGGTAGATAAATCCATGAAGATGAGAAAAAAACAGTGCAAAAAGGCTGAAAATTCAATAAACCAGAATGCCTCTTCTCCTCCAAAGGTTCACAACTCCCTACCAGCAAGGGAACAAAACTGGACAGAGAATGAGTTTGATGAACCGACAGAAGTAGGCTTCAGAAGATGGGTAATAACAAACTCCTCCAAGCTAAAGGAGCATGTTCTAACCCAATGTAAGGAAGTTAAGAACCTTGAAAAAAGTTAGAGAAATTGCTAACTAGAATAACCAGTTTAGAGAAGAACATACATGGCCTGATGGAGCTGAAAAACACAGCACAAGAACTTCATGAAGCATACACAAATATCAATATCCAAATAGATCAAGCAGAAGACAGGATATCAGAGATTGAAGATCACCTTAATGAAATAAAGTGTGAAGACAAGATTAGAGAAAGCAGAATGAAAAGAAATGAACAAAGCCTCCAAGAAATACGGGACTGTGTGAAAAGACCAAATCTACATTTGATTGGTGTACCTGAAAGTGATGGGGAGAATGGAACCAAGTTGGAAAACACTCTTCAGGATATTATCCAGGAGAACTTCCCCAACCTAGCAAGACAGGCCAACATTCAAATTCAAGAAATACAGAGAACACCACAAAGATACTCCTCGAGAAAAGCAAACCCAAGACACACAATTGTCTGATTCGCCAAGGTTGAAATGAAAGAAAAAATGTTAAGGGCAGCCAGAGAGAAAGGTCAGGTTACCCAGAAAGGAAAGCCTATCGGACTAACAGCAGATCTCTCAGCAGAAACCCTACAAGCCAAAAGAGAGTGGGGACCAATATTCAACATTCTTAAAGAAAAGAATTTTCAACCCAGAATTTCATATCCAGCCAAATAGTTTCATAAGCAAAGGAGAAATAAAATCCTTTACAGACAAGCAAATGCTGATATTGCCACCACCAGGCCTGCTTTACAAGAGCTCCTGAAAGAAGCACTGAACATGGAAAGGAAAAACCACTCCTGGCCACTGCAAAAACATACCAGATTTTAAAGACCATCGACACTCTGAAGAAACTGCAACTTGTAAATTTGTTTGAGTTAATTGTAGATTCTACAATTGTAGATATTAGCCCTTTGTCAGATGAGTAGATTGCAAAAATTGTCTCCCATTCTGTAGGTTGCCTGTTCACTCTGATGGTAGTTTCTTTTGCTGTGCAAAAGCTCTTTAGTTTAATTAGATCCCATTTGTCAATTTTGGCTTTTATTGCCATTGCTTTTGGTGTTTTAGACATGAAGTCCTTGCCCATGCCTATGTCCTGAATGGTATTGCCTAGGTTTTCTTCTAGGGTTTTTATGGTTTTAGGTCTGACATGTAAGTCTTTAATCCATCTTGAATTAATTTTTGTATAAGGTGTAAGTAAGGGATCCAGTTTCAGCTTTCTACATATGGCTGGCCAGTTTTGCCAGCACCATTTATTGAATAGGGAGTCCTTTCTCCATTTCTTGTTTTTGTCAGGTTTGTCAAAGATCGGATGGTTGTAGATATGTGGTATTATTTCTGAGGGCTCTGTTCTGTTCCATTGGTGTATATCTCTGTTTTGGTACCAGTGCCATACTGTTTTGGTTACTATAGCCTTGTAGCATAGTTCAAAGTCAGGTAGCATGATGCCTCCAGATTTATTCTTTTGGCTTAGGATTCTCTTGGCAATGTGGGCCCTTTTTGGTTCCATATGAACTTTAAAGTTGTTTTTTCCAATTCTGTGAAGAAAGTCATTGGTAGCTTGATGGAGATGGCATTGAATCTATAAATTACCTTGGGCAGTATTGCCATTTTCACAATATTGATTCTTCCTACCCATGATCATAGAATGTTCTTCCATTTGTTTGTATCCTCTTTTATTTCACTGAGCAGTGGTTTGTAGTTCTCCTTGAAGAGGTCCTTCATGTCCCTTGTAAGTTGGATTCCTAGGTATTTTATTCTCTTTGAAGCAATTGTGAATGGGAGTTCACTCATGATTTGGCTCTCTGTTTGTCTGTTATTGGTGTATAAGAATGCTTGTGATTTTTGCACATCGATTTTGTATCCTGAGACTTTGCTGAAGTTACCTATCAGCTTAAGGAGGTTGTGGGCTGAGACAATGGGGTTTTCTAGATATATAATCATGTCATCTGCAAACAGGGACAATTTGACTTCCTCTTTTCCTAATGAATACACTTTATTTCCTTCTCCTGCCTGATAGCCCTGGCCAGAACTTCCAACACTATGTTGAATAGGAGTGGTGAGAGAGGGCATCCCTGTCTTGTGCCCATTTTCAAAGGGAGTGCTTCCAGTTTTTGCCCATTCAGTATATTGACTGTGGGTTTGTCTTAGGTAGCTCTGATTATTTTGAGATACATCCCATCAATACCTAATTTATTGAGAGTTTGTAGCATGAAGCATTGTTGAATTTTGTCAAAGGCCTTTCCTGCATCTATTGAGATAATCCTGTGGTTTTTGTCTTTGGTTCTGTTTATATGCTGGATTACATTTTTTGATTTTCATATGTTGAACCAGCCTTGCATCCCAGGGATGAAGCCCACTTGATCATGGTGGATAAGCTTTTTGATGTGCTGCTGGATTCGGTTTGCCAGTATTTTACTGAGGATTTTTGCATTGACAAACAACCCCATCAACAAGTGGGCAAAGGGTATGAACAGACGCTTCTCAAAAGAAGACATTTATGCAGCCAAAAGACACATGAAAAAATGCTCATCATCACTGGCCATCAGGGAAATGCAAATCAAAACCACAATGAGATACCATCTCACACCAGTTAGAATGGCAATCATTAAAAAGTCAGGAAACAACAGGTGCTGGAGAGGATGTGGAGAAATAGGAACACTTTTACACTGTTGGTGGGACTGTAAACTAGTTCAACCATTGTGGAAGTCAGTGTGGTGATTCCTCAGGGATCTAGAACTAGAAGTACCATTTGACCCAGCCATCCCATTACTGGGTATATACCCAAAGGATAATAAAAGATGCTGCTATAAAGACACATGCACACGTATGTTTATGGTGGCACTATTCACAATAGCAAAGACTTGGAACCAACTATGATAGACTGGATGAAGAAAATGTGGCACATGTACACCATGGAATACTATGCAGCCATAAAAAATGATGAGTTCATGTCCTTTGTAGGGACATGGATGAAGCTGGAAACCATCATTCTGAGCAAACTATTGCAAGGACAAAAAAACAAACACTGCATGTTCTCACTCTTAGGTGGGAATTGAACAAAGAGAACACATGGACACAGGAAGGGGAACATCACACACTGGGGCCTGTTGTAGGGTGGGGGGAGCGGGGAGGGGGGAGGGATAGCATTAGGAGATACACCTAATGTTAAACGAAGAGTTAATGGGTGCAGCATACCAACATGGCACATGTATACATATGTAACAAACCTGCACATTGTGCACATGTACCCTAAAACTTAAAATATAATAAAAATAAAAAATGAAAAATAGAAAAAAGAACCATGAATGATAAAAAAAAAAGAAAAAAAATAAACTGCATCAACTAACAGGCAAAATAATCAGCTAGCATCATAAAGACATGATCAAATTCACACATAACAATGTTAACCTTAAATGTAAATGGGCTAAATGTCCCAATTAAAAGACATAGTCTGGCAAATTGGATAAAGAGTCAAGGCCCATTGGTGTTCAGTATTCAGGAGACCCATCTCATGTGCAAAAACATACATAGGCTCAAAATAAAGGGATGGAGGAATATTTACCAAGCAAATGGAAAGAAAAAAAAAAAGCAGCGGTTGCAATCCTACTCTCTGATAAAACAGACTTTAAACCAACAAAGAGACAGAGAAGGGCATTACATAATGGTAAATGGATCACTGAAAGAAGAAGAGCTAACTATCTTAAATATATATGCACCGAATGCAGGAGCACCCGGATTCATAAAGTAAATTCTTAGATACTTACAAAGAGACTTAGACTCCCACACAATGTTAGTGGGAAAATTTAACACTCTACTGTCAGTAACAGACAGATCATCAAGAGAGAAAATTAACAAGGATATCCAGGACTTGAACTCAGCTCTGCACCAAGTGGACCTAATAGACATCTACAGAACTCTCCACCCCAAATCAATAGAATATACATTCTTCTCAGCACCGCATCACACTTACTCCCATATTGACCACATAGTTGAAAGTAAAGCACTCCTCAGCAAATGTAAAAGAATAGAAATCACAACAAACTGTCTCTCAGAACACAGTGCAATCAAATTAGAACTCAGAATTAAGAAACTCACTCAAAACTGCTCAACTACATGGAAACTGAACAACCTGCTCCTGAATGACTACTGAGTAATTAACGAAATGAAGGCAAAGCCTTCATTCATACCAAAGCCTGGTAGAGACACAGCAAAAAAAAAAAAGACTTTTAGACCAATATCCCTGATGAACATCGATGTGAAAATCCTCAATAAAATACTGGCAAACTGAATCCAGCAGCACATCAAAAAGCTTATCCACCATGATCAAGTGGGCTTCATCCCTGGGATGCAAGGCTGGTTCAACATACGCAAATCAATAAACGTAATCCAGCATATAAAGAGAACCAATGACAAAAACCACATGATTATCTCAATAGATGAAGAAAAAGCCTTTGGCAAAATTCAACAACCCTTCATGCTGAAAACTCTCAATAAACTAGGTATTGATGGAACATATCTCCAAATAATAAGAGCTATTTATGACAAACCCACAGTCAATATCATACTGAATGGGCAAAAACTGGAAGCATTCCCTTTGAAAACTGGCACAAGACAGGGATGCCCTGCCTCACCACTCCTATTCAACATAGTTTTGAAAGTTCTGGCCAGGGCAATCAGGCAAGAGAAAGAAATAAAGGGTATTCAATTAGGAAAAGAGGAAGTCAAATTGTCCCAGTTTGCAGATGACATGAATTTTATACTTAGAAAACCCCATTGTCTTCACCCATAATCTCCTTAAGCTGATAAGCTCATTGTAGATTCTGGATATTAGCCCTTTGTCAGATGAGTAGGTTGCAAAAATTTTCTCCCATTCTTTAAGTTTCCTATTCACTGTGATGGCAGTTTCTTTTGCTGTGCAGAAGCTCTTTAGTTTAATTAGATCCCATTTGTCAATTTTGGCTTTTGTTGCCATTGCTTTTGGTGTTTTAAACATGAAGTCCTTGCCCATGCCTATGTCCTGAATGGTATTGCCTAGGTTTTCTTCTAGGGTTTTTACTGTTTTAGGTCTAACATTTAAGTCTTTAATCCATCTTGAATTAATTTTTGTATAAAGTGTAAGGAAGGGATCCAGTTTCAGCTCTCTACAGATGGCTAGCCAGATTCCCCAGCACCATTTATTAAACAGGGAATCCTTTCCTCATTTCTTGCTTTTGTCAGGTTTGTCAAAGATCAGATGGTTGTAGATGTGTGGTATTATTTCTGAGGGCTCTATTCTGTTCCATTGGTCTATATCTCTGTTTTGGAACCAGTACCATGCTGTTTTGGTTACTGTAGCCTTGTAGTATAGTTTGAAGTCAGGTAGCGTGATGCCTCCAGCTTTTTTCTTTTGACTTCAGAATGTCTTGACAATGCGGGCTTTTTTTGGTTCCATATGAACTTTAAAATAGTTTTTTTTGTTTGTTTGTTATTTGATTCCCTTTATTACATTAAATTATACATTTGACTCATTTTTCCATAATGAATAATTTGCGTGTGAATAAAATGACCAACTTAAAATAAACAAATAAAAAGTATGTATTCACTAACAGTTATATTATAAATAAGTACATTCATAATCAATCTCTCATTATTCCTGTTCCTCTCTTTCATAGAAAGCACTTATAAGTGTAATCGATTATATCTTTAAGCATCTTGGCATTCTGAGGTTTATAGATTAATTGGGGAAAACTGTCCATTTTAATAAGCTTTGGTTTTTTGTCCCTTTTTTTTTTAATTTTTTTAGTATTTATTGATCATTCTTGGGTGTTTCTCGGAGAGGGGGATTTGGTAGGTTCATAGGACAATAGTGGAGGGAAGGTCAGCGGATAAACATGTGAACAAAGTCTCTGGTTTTCCTAGGCAGAGGGCCCTGCGGCCTTCCGCAGTGTTTGTGTCCCTGGGAACTAGGGATTAGGGAGTGGTGATGACTCTTAGCGAGCACGCTGCCTTCAAGCATCTGTTTAACAAAGCACATCTTGCACCGCCCTTAATCCATTTAACCCTTAGTGGACACAGCACGTTTCAGAGAGCACGGGGTTGGGGATAAGGTTATAGATTAACAGCATCCCAAGGCAGAAGAATTTTTCTTAGTACAGAACAAAATGGAGTCTCCTATGTCTACCCCCTTCAACACAGACACAGTAACAATCCGATCTCTCTTTCTTTTCCCCACATTTCCCCCTTTTCTATTCGACAAAACCGCCATCGTCATCATGGCCCCTTCTCAATGAGCTGTTGGGTACACCTCCCAGATGGGGTGGCGGCCGGGCACAGGGGCTCCTCACTTCCCAGACGGGGCAGCCAGGCAGAGGCACCCCCCACCTCCCAGATGGGGTGGCTGGCTGGGCGGCGGCTGCCCCCCACCTCCCTGACGGGGCGGCTGGCCGGGCGGGGGCTGCCCCCCACCTCCCGGATGGGGCAGCTGCCGGGCGGAGGGGCTCCTCAATTCCCAGATGGGGCGGCTGCTGGGCGGAGGGGCTCCTCACTTCTCAGACGGGGCGGCCAGTCAGAGATGCTCCTCACCTCCCAGACGGGGTGGCGGCGGGGCAGAGACACTCCTCAGTTCCCAGACGGGGTCACGGCCGGGCAGAGGAGCTCTTCATATCTCAGACGGGGCGGCGGGGCAGAGGTGCTCCCCACATCCCAGACGATGGGCGGCTGGGCAGAGACGCTCCTCACTTCCTAGACGGGATGACTGCTGGGAAGAGGCGCTCCTCACTTCCCAGACTGGGTGGCCAGGCAGAGGGGCTCCTCACATCCCAGACGATGGGCGGCCAGGCAGAGACACTCCTCACTTTCTAGACAGGGTGGCGGCCGGGCAGAGGCTGCAATCTCGGCACTTTGGGAGGCCAAGGCAGGCGGCTGGCAGGTGGAGGTTGTAGCGAGCCGAGATCACGCCACTGCACTCCAGCCTGGGCAACATTGAACACTGAGTGAGCGAGACTCCCTCTGCAATCCTGGCACCTCGGGAGGCTGAGGCTGGCAGATCACTCGCGGTCAGGAGCTGGAGACCAGCCCGGCCAACACGGCGAAACCCTGTCTCCACCAAAAAATATGAAAACCAGTCAGGCGTGGAGGCGCACGCCTGCAATCCCAGGCATTCGGCAGGCTGAGGCAGGAGAATCAGGCAGGGAGTTTGCAGTGAGTCGAGATAGCTGCAATACAGTCCAGCCTCGGCTGGGCATCAGAGGGAGACTGTGCAAAGGGGAGAGGGAGAGGGAGAGGGAGAGGGATAGGGAGATAGTTTTTTTTTCCAATTCTGTGAAGAAAGTCATTGGTAGCTTGATGGGGATGGCATTGATTTTCACAATATTGATTCTTCCTATCCGTGAGCATGGAATGTTCTTCCATTTGAAGAATTCTCCAACCCGAATGTCCATCAGTGATAGACTGGATTAAGAAAATGTGGCACATATACACCATGGAATACTATGCAGCCATATAAAAGGATGAGTTCTTGTCCTTTGCAGGGACATGGATGAAGCTGGAAACCATCACTCAGCAAATTATTGCAAGGACAGAAAACCAAACACAGCACGTTCTCACTCATAGGTGGGAATTGAACAATGAGAACACTGGGACACAGGGTGGGGAACATCACACACAGGGGCCTGTTTTGGGGTGGGGGATGGGGGGAGGGATAGCATTGGGAGATATACCTAATGTAAATGATGAGTTAACGAGTGCAGCACACCAACATGGCACATGTATACATATGTAACAAACCTGCACATTGTGCACATGTAGCCTAGAACCGAAAGTATAATTAAAAAAAGCTGATAAGCAAATTCAGCAAAGTCTCTGGATTCAAAATCAATGTGCAAAAATCACAACCATTCTTATACACCAATAACAGACAGAGAGCCAAATTATGAGTGAACTCCCATTCACAATTGCTTCAAAGAGAATAAAACACCTAGGCATACAACTTACAAGTGATGTGAAGGACCTCTTCAAGGAGAACTACAAACCACTGCTCTAGGAAATAAAAGGGGACACAAACAAATGGAAGAACATTCCATGCTCATGGATAGGAAGAATCAATATCATCAAAATGGCCATACTCCCCAAGTTAATTTATAGATTCAATGCCGTCTCCATCAAGCTATCAATGACTTTCTTCACAGAATTGGAAAACACTACTTTAAAGTTCATATGGAACCAAAAAAGAGCCCACATTACCAAGACAATCCAAAGCCAAAAGAACAAAGCTGGAGGCATCATGGTACTTGACTTCAGACTATACTACAAAGCTACAGTAATCAAAACAGCATGGTACTGGTACCAAAACAGAGAGATAGACCAATGGAACAGAACAGAGGCCTCAGAAATAACACCACACATCTACAACCATCTCATCTTCAACAAACCTGACAAAAACCAGCAATGGGGAAATGATTCCCTGTTTAATAAATGGTGCTGGGAAAACTGGCTAGCCATCTGTAGAGAGCTGAAACTGGATCCCTTCCTTACACTTTATACAAAAATTAATTCAAGACGGATTAAAGACTTAAATGTTAAACCTAAAACCATAAAAACCCTAGAAGAAAACCTAGGCAGTATCATTCAGGACATAGGCATGGGCAAGGACTTCATAACTAAAACACCAAAAGCAATGGCAACAAAAGCCAAAATTGACAAATGGGATCTAATTAAACTAAAGAGCTTCTGCACAGCAAAAGAAACTGCCATCACAGTGAATAGGCAACCTACAGAATGGGAGAAAATTTTTACAATCTACCTATCTGACAAAGGGCTAATATCCAGAATCTACAAAGATCTTAAACAAATTTACAAGAAAAAAACAAACCACCCCATCAAAAAGTGGGCAAAGATATGAACAGACACTTCTCAAAAAAAGACACCTATGCAGCCAACAGACACATGAAAAAATGCTCATCATCACTGGCCGTCAGAGAAATGCAAATCAAAACCACAGTGAGATATCGTCTCACACCAGTTAGAATGGCGATCATTAAAAAGTCAGGAAACAAGAGGTGCTGGAAAGGATGTGGAGAAATAGGAGCACTTTTACACTGTTAGTGGGAGTTTAAATTAGTTCAGCCATTGTGGAAGACAGTGTGGTGATTCCTCATGGATCTAGAGCTAGAAATACCATTTGACCCAGCCATCCCATTACTGGGTATGTACCCAAAGGATTATAAATCATGCTAATATAAAGAAACATGTACATGTATGTTTATTGTGGCACTACTCACAATAGCAAAAACTTGGAACCAACCCAAATGTCCATCAATGATAGACTGGATTTAGAAAATGTGGCACATATACACCATGGAATACTATGCAGCCATAAAAAAGGATGAGTCCATTTTCCTTTGCAGGGACATGGATGAAGCTGGAAACCATCATTCTCAGCAAACTATCACAAGGACAGAAAACCAAACACCGTATGTTCTCACTCATAGGTGGGAATTGAACAATGAGAACACTTGGACACAGGACAGGGAACATCATGCATGGGGGCCTGTCATGGGGTAGGGGTCAGGGGGAGGGATAGCATTAGGAGAATACCTAATGTTAATGATAAGTTAATGAGTGCAGCAAACCAGCATGGCACATGTATACCTATGTAACAAACTTGGACATTGTGCACATGTACACTAGAAGTTAACATATAATAATAATAATAATAATAATAAAAAGAAATTTTAGATGCTTGCTTTAGTAAATGTTTTATTGAAATAAAATGACATATCCTACAATTTACCCATTTAAAGTATATGATTCAATGATTTTGAGTATATTCAGTGAAGTTTGTAACCATCACCAAATCAATGTTACGATATTTTCATTACTCTAAAAAGAAACCACGTACCTATTACCAGTTACTCCCCTTTCTCTCCAAACCTTGCAACCCTAGGCAATAACTACTTTAGTCTCTGTGTGTATGAATTTGTTTGTTATAGTCATTTCAAAGCAATAAAACCATACAATATTTGGCATTTTGTCACTGGCTTTTTTCTCTTAACAAAATTCTTTCACGATTCATTCATGTCGTATGAGTACTTTATTCCTATTTATTGGTGAATAAGATTCCATTTTATCATATTTTATTTATTTATTTTTCAGTGCTTTTTGAGGCCTAGGCAGGAGGATTGCTTGAGCCCAGGAGTTCCAGGCTGCAGTGAGCTATGATCATGCCACTGCACTCCCTGCCTTGAAAAAAAAAAAGTAACTTTGTGTTTAACATTTAGAGGACATAACAGACTGCTATAAGAAGTGGCCTCATAGAATGAGTTGGGAAGTGTTTCCTCCTCTTCTGTTTTTTTTGGAGGGTTTGTGAAAAATTGATACTAATTCTTCCTCAAATGTTGGGTAGAATTCAACAGTGAAGCCCTCTGGGCCTGGGCTATTCTTTGTGAGAGATTTTTCCAATTACAAATTCATTTCATTACTTGTTTTGTCTATTCATATCTTCTAAAGTCAGTTTTGATAGTTTGTGTTTTTCTAGGAATTTATCCATTTTGTACAGGTTATCTGATTTGTTGGAATATTGTTATTAATAATACTCCATTACAATCTTTTTAATTCTCTGAGATAGGTCCCTCTTTTCACTCTTTTTTTTTTTTTTTTTTTTTTTTTGAGATGAAGTCTAGCTCTGTCACCAGGCTGGAGTGCAGTGGCGAGATCTTGGCTCACTGCAACCTCCGCCTCCTACGTTCAAGTGATTCTTCAGCCTCGGCCTCCCGAGTAGCTGAGACTACAGGCACACGCCACCATGCCCAGCTAATTTTTGTATTTTTTTTAATACAAAATTTAGACGGGATTTCATTATGTTGGCCAGGATGGTCTCGATCTCTTGACCTCGTGATCTGCCCACCTCGGCTTCCCAAAGTGCTGGGATTACAGGTGTGAGCCACCGTGCCCGGCCTTTGCTCTTGATTATAATAATGTTAGTTTCTCTTCTTGTCTTGGTCAACCTAGCTAAAGTTTTGTCAACCGTTTTGACCTTTTCAAAGAAGCTGCTTTTTTCCAGCTTTATTGAATTATGAGACAAAAATTGAATATATTTAAGGTATACAACTCAATATTTTATATAAATTAACATCCATCGCGTCACATAATTGTCATTTTCTTCCTTCTCCCCTCCCCTGCTTCACCCTCGCAACCACCATTCTACTTTCTCTAAGTGTATTTCCACTTTTGCATATGTGAGATAATGCAATATTTGTCTTTCTGTGTCTGAATTGCTTCACTTAGCATAATATCCTCCAGGTTCATCCAAGTTGTCATAAATGTCAGGATTTACTTTATTATAAAAGCTGAATAATATTTCAGTGAATTAGTGTGTGTATGTGTATCACATTTTCTGCTTTAGTAAACTAATAGATTGCGTGACTCATCCAAGGACGAAGTCAGTGAGCAGTGGGGACAGGACTACAGCTCAAATCTCCTGGTTCCCATCAACAATACCTGCTTTCCAATCCCTAATGATGCCATTAGGATGGGAGAATGGTGGAACCTGCAGGGAAGAGAAGGAGACTGGGCACACAGTAGGATCCAAGCCCTGGCCCTGCCCCCTGGGACACATTTGTCACTCTATTGCTTGTTTTCTTTGCTCTGCAAATGCTTTTTAGTTTGATTCAGTCCCACTTAACTTTGTAATATATTTTGAAATCAGAAAGTGGGATGCCTCCAGCGTTGTTATTCTTGTTCAATAGTACTTTGGCTATTTGGGGTCTTTTGTGGTTTCATGTGAATTTTAGGATTTTTTTTTTCTATTTCTGTAGAGTATTTCTTTGGTATTTTCATAGGGATTTCATTGAATCTATAGATCAGTTTGGATAGCATGGGGATTTTAACAATATCAATTCTTTTTTTTTTTTTAAGACAGTCTTTCTCTCTCACCCAGGCTGGAGTGCAGTGGCACAATCTTGGCTCACCGCAACCTCTGCCTCCCGGGTTCAAGCAATTCTCCTGCCTCAGCCTCCCATGACATGCCTGGCTAATTTTTTTTTGTATTTTTAGTAGAGATGGGATTTCATCATGTTGGTCAGGCTGGTCTCAAACTTTTTACCTCAGGTAATCCACCTGCCTCGACCTCCCAAAGTACTGGGATTACAGGCATGAGCCACCGCACCCGGCAATATTAATTCTCCCAGTCCATAAAAACGGAGGTCTTTCCTTTTATCTGTGTTCAAAGAACCAACTTTTAGATTATTTGCTTTTGTATATATTTTTTCTTTAATACTTCATTAATTTGTGCTATAATCTTTATTTCCTTTTTTCTGTTTGCTTTCAGTTTAGTTTTTTTTATTTTTCTATATTTTAATGTGAATGGTGAGGATATTGATTTGAGGTAATTTTGTTTTCTTTTTTCCTTGTTTTGAGACAGGGTCCCATTCTGTCACGCAGGCAGGAGTGCAGTGGCATGATCATGGATCACGGCTCACTGCAGCCTCAACCTCCCTGGCTCAAGTGATCCTCCCACCCGAGCCTTTCAAGTAGTTGGGACTACAGGCCTTTGCTACCATGCCCAGATTATTGATTGATTGATTGATTGATTGATTGATTGAGACAGGGTCTACCTATGTTGCCCAGTCTGGTCTCAATACCCTGGACTCAAGCAATCTTTCCACCCCAGCCTCCCAAAGTGCTGGGATTTCAGGTGCAACCCACTGGGCTCAGCCTTTTTTTCTTTTCTTTTCTTCTCTTTTCCTTTCTTTAACATACTTGCTTATGGCTATAAATTTTCCTCTCAGCATTGCTTAAGCTGCATACTGGAGTTTTTAGTATGTTATATCTTCGTTTCATTCTTCACAAAGTATTTTTCGTTTCTTTCGTTTGTTATTCAGTCAGATGTTAGTATAGCCACTGAAGATTCCTTACGGCTGCTATTTCCATGTTATGTCCTTTTTTATGGTTTGCTTTAAACTTTTTTGTATCTTTGATCAAAGCGTGTCTCCTGTAGAAAGCATATAGTTGGATACTATTTGCTTGTTTTGTGCAGTCATACTATATCTTCCTTTTGATTGGAATGTTTAATCAATTCACATTTAGTGTTATTGTTGGTACTGTTAGATTGATGTCTGTAAATTTAGTTTTTATTTTCCATATGTTCATGCCTTTTTTCCTTGTACTCCTCCTTTACTGATTTTTTAACATTAAATGAATATTTTTAAAAAATTTAATTTCTATTTATTTATTTATTTACTTTAAGTTCTGGGATACATAGGCAGAATGTGTAGGTTTGTTACATAGGTATACATGTGCCATGGTGTTTTGCTGCACCTGTCAACCCATCATCTAGGTTTTAAGCCCCGCATGCATTAGGTATTTGTCTTAATACTCTCCCTCCCCATCACCCCTACCCCACAGCATGCCCCAGTATTTGATGTTCCCCTCCCTGGGTCCATGTGTTCTCATTGTCCAACTCCCAATTATGAGTGAGAGTTTGGTTTTCTGTTCCTATTTAAATTTGCTGAGAATGATGGCTTCCAGCTTCATCTATGTCCCGGCAAAGGACATGAACTCATTCTATTTTACGGTTGCATAGTATTCCATGGTGTATATGTGCCGCATTTTCTTAATCCAGTCTATCACTGATGGACATTTGGGTTGGTTCCAAGTTTTTGCTATTGTGAATAGTGCTGCAATAAACATATGCATGCATGTGTCTTTATAGTAGAATTATTTATAATCCTTTGGATATATACCCAGGAGTGGGATTGCTGGGTCAAATGGTGTTTCCGGTTCTAGATCCTTGAGGAACCAAAACACTGTCTTCCACATTGATTGAAGTAATTTACACTGCCACCAACAGTGTAAAAGCATTTCTATTTATTCACAGACTCACCAGCGTCTGTTCTTTCCTGACTCTTTAATAGCCATTCTAACTGGCGTGAGATGGTATCTCATTGTGGTTTTGATTTGCATTTCTCTAATGACCAGTGATGATGAACCTTTTTTCATATCTTTCTTAGCTGCATAAATGTCTTTTGAGAAGTGTCTGTTCACATACTTCTCCCACTTTTTGATGGTTTTTTTTTCTTGTAAATTTGTTTAAGTTCCTTGTAGATTCTGGATATTAGACCTTTGTCAGATGGATAGCTTGTAAAAATTTTCTCCCATTCTGTTGGTTGCCTGTTCACTCTGATGATAGTTTCTTTTGCTGTGCAGAAACTCATAAGTTTGATTAGATCCCATATGTCAATTTTGGCTTTTGTTGCCATTGCTTTTGATGTTTTAGTCATGAAGTCTTTGCCCATGCCTATGTCCTGAATGGTATTGCCTAGGTTTTCTTCTAGGATTTTTTATGTGTTTAGGTCTTACATTTAAGTCTTTAATTCTTCTTGAGCTAATTTTTGTATAAGGTGTAAGGAGTAGGTCCAGTTTCTGTTTTCTGCATATCGCTAGCCAGTTTTCCCAGCACCATTTATTAAATAGGGAATCTCTTCCCCATTGCTTGTTTTTGCCAAGTTTGTTGAAGATCAGATGGTTGTAGGTGTGTGGTATTATTTCTGAGGTCTTTGTTCTGTTTCATTGGTCTATATATCTGTTTTGGTTCCAGTACCATGCTGTTTTGGTTACTGTAGCCTTGTAGTATAGTGTGAACTCAGGTAGCGTGATGCTTCCAGCTTTGTTCTTTTTGCTTAGGAGTGTCTTACCTATACGGGTTATTTTTTGGTTCCATATGAAATTTAAAGTAGATTTTTCTAATTCTGCAAAGAAAGTCAAAGGTAGCTTGTTGGAATTTCATTGAATCTATAAGTTACTTTGAACAGTATGGCCATTTCACAATATTGATTCTTCCTATCCATGAGCATACAATTTTTTTCCGTTTGTTTGTGTGCTCTCTGATTACCTCGCAGTGGTTTGTCATTCTCCTTGAAGAGGTCCTTTACGTCCCTTGTAAGTTGTATTCTTAGGTATTTTATTCTCTTTGTAGCAATTATGAATAGGCGTTCACTCATGATTTGGCTCTCTACTTGTCTATTATCGATGTATAGGAATGCTTGTGATTTTTGCACACTGATTTTGTATCTTGAGACTCTGCTGAAGTTGCTTATCAGCTTAAGGAGATTTTGGGCTGAGATGATGGGGTTTTCTAAATATACAATCTTGTCATCTGCAAACAGAGACAATATGACTTCCTCTTTTCCTAACTGAATACCTTTCATTTCTTTCTCTTGCCTGATTGCCCTGGCCAGAACTTCTAATACTATGTTGAATAGGAGTGGTGAGAGACCGCATCCTTGTCTTGTGCCAGTTTTCAAAGGGAATGCTTCCAGCTTTTGCACATTCAGTATGATATTGGCTGTGGGTTTTTCATAAATAGCTTTTATTATTTTTACATATCTTCTATCAATACCTAGTTTATTGAGAGTTTTTATCATGAAAGGATGTTGAATTTGATCAAAGGCCCTTTTCTGCATCTATTGAGATAATCATGTGGTTTTTGTCATTCGATCTGTTTATGTGATGGATTATGTTTATTGACTTGTGTATGTTGAGCTAGCCTTGCATCCCAGGGGTGAAGTCGACTTGATCTTGGTGGGTAAGCTTTTTGATGTGCTGCTGGATTTGGTCTGCCAGTATTTTATTGAAGATTTTTGTATTGATGTTCATCAGGGATATTGGCCTGAAATTTTCTTTTTTTCTTGTGTTTCTGCCAGGTTTTGGTATCAGGATGATGCTGGCCTCACAAAATGAGTTAGGGAGGAGTGCCTCTTTTTCTTTTGTTTGGAATAGTTTCAGAAGGAATGGTTCCAGCTCCTCTTTGTACCTCTGGTAGAATTTGGCTGTGAATCCATCCGTTCTTGGACTTTTTTGGTTGGTAGGCTATTAATTACTGCCTCAATTTCAGAGCTTGTTATTGGTACATTCCAGGATTTAACTTCTTCCTGTTTTAGTCTTGGGAGGGTGTATGTGTCCAGGAATTTATCCATTTCTTCCAGATTTTCTAGTTTATTTGCATAGAGGTGCTAATAGTATTCTCTGATGGTAGTTTGTATTTCTATGTGATCAGTGGTGATATCCCCTTTATCATTTCTTATTGCATCTATTTGATTCTTCTCTCTTTTCTTCTTCATTAGTCTAGCTAGCAGTCTATTTTGTTAAGCTTTTCAAAAAACCAGCTTCTGGATTCATTGATTTTTTGAAGAGTTTCTCATGTCTCTGTCTCCTTCAGTTCCACTCTGAACTTAGTTATTTCTTGTCTTGTGCCAGCTTTTGAATTTGTTTGCTCTTTCTTCTCTAGTTTTTTTCATTGTGATGTTAGTGTGTTGATTTTTTATCTTTCTTGCTTTCTGATGTGAGCATTTAGTGCTATAAATTCTGCTCTTAACACTGATTTAGCTGTGTCCCAGAGATTCTGGGTTCGTTGTCTCTCTCTTTGTTCTCATTGGTTTCAAATAGCTTATTTATTTCTGCCTTAATTTTGTTATTTACCCAGTAGTCATTCAGGAGCAGGTTACTCAATTTCCATTAGTTGTGTGGTTTTGAGTGAATTTCTTAATCCTGAGTTCTAATTTGATTGCACTGTGGTCTGAGAGACTGTTTGTTATGATTTCCATTCATTTGCATTTGCTGAGGAGTGTTTTGTTTCCAATTGTGTGGTCAATTTTAGAATAAGTGTTATGTGGCACTGAGAAGAATGTATATTCTGTTGATTTGTGGTGGAGAGTTCTGCAGATGTCTATTAGGTCTTCTTGGTCCAGGGCCAAGTTCAAGTCCTGAATATCCTTGTTAATTTTCTGTCTTGTTGATCTGTCTAATATTGATAGTGGGGTGTTAAATTCTCCCACTATTGCTATGCAGGAGT
Organism: Homo sapiens; assembly: GCF_000001405.40. Lineage (NCBI taxonomy): Eukaryota > Metazoa > Chordata > Mammalia > Primates > Hominidae > Homo > Homo sapiens. Next base: position 121,201,116 of record NC_000003.12, read on the forward strand.
CCAAGTCTCTCTGTAGTCCTCTAAGAACTTGTCTTATGAATCTGGGTGGTATATTGGCTCATATCCCAGTATGTGGATACCACTGTATTGGGAGCATATATGTTTAGGATAGTTAGCACTTCTTGTTGCATTGATCCCTTTACCATTATGTAATGTCCTTCTTTTCCTTTTTTGATCTTTGTTGGTTTAAAGTCTGTTTTATCAGAGACTAGGATTGCAACCCCTACTGTTTTTTGCTTTCCATTTGCTTGGTAAATATTCCTCCATCTTTTTATTTTGAGCCTAAGTATGTCTTTACATGTGAGATGGGTCTCCTGATGCAGCACATCGATGGGTCTTGATTCTTTATCCAATTTATCTGTCTTGTCTTTAATTGGAGACTTTAGCCCATTTACATTAAATGTTAATATTGTTATGTGTGAATTTGATCCTATAATTATGACGCTAGCTGGTTATTTTGTACATTAGTTGATGCAGTTTCTTCACAGTGTCATTGGTCTTTATATTTTTGTATGTTTTTGCAGTGGCCGTTACTGGTTGTTTTTTTTTTTCCATATTTAGTGCTTCCTTCAGGAGCTCTTGTAAGGCAGACCTGGTGGTGACAATATCCCTCAACATTTGCCTTGTCTGGAAAGCATTTTATTTATGTGCTTATTAAGCTTAGCTTGGCTGGATATGAAATTCTCGTTTGAAAATTATTTTCTTTAAGAATGTTGAATATTGGCCCCCTCCTGGGTTCAAGGGATTCTCGTGCCTCAGCCTCCCGAGTAGATGGGATTACCGGCACGTGCCACCACACCTGGCTAATTCTTGTATTTTTAGTAAGGACAGGGTTTCACCATGTTGGCCAGGCCGGTGTTGAACACCTGACCTCAGGTGATCCACCTACCTTGGCCTCCCAAATTGCTGGGATTACAGGAATCAGCCATTGTGCTCTGCTCTTCTTCTCCTTTTTTTGTCCAATTTTTTGTTATATGTTTTATATCTATATGTGCTGCAAATCCAATAATACATTATTTAAATTAAATTATTATTAAATCTTATATAATTGTATGTCTTTTAAGAATGTTGACAAAAAATGTAGATCAAGTATATATTCACAGAATCTGTTACATTGATGTTTTTGCTTATCATTTTTGGTTTTCTTCATTTGTTGCTGTAGATTCAAATTACCAACTGGTATCTTTTCCTTGTTCCAATACAGCTTTGCTCTCACCCACCTTCTTTTTCTTGTTATTGGCAAATATATATACAGATCTCACAATACAATTATATACATATTGTTTTATATAATTGATTTTTAAGTCAGTTAAGAGGTGGTTGGAGAATACATATGCAATTATGTCATTGTAATTATCTACCTAGTTACCTTTACTGGTACTCTGTTCTTTGTGTAGACTTAAATTACTTGCTGGGTCACTTTCTTTCAGCCTGAAGGACTTTTTTTAGTATTTTTTGTAAGATAGCTCTGTTATCAACAAATTCTCTCAGTTTTTGTTTATCTTGAAATTATCTTTATTTCATCTTTATTTTTGAAAGACAGTTTTGCTCAACATAAGACTCTTGGTTGGCAGACTTTTTTTCTTCTACTATTTTAAATATGTCATATCACATTCCATTGCCTTTCAGCCTCCATTGTTTCTAAAAGTTAGCTGTTAATCTTAATAGGGTTCTTTTGTACACACTGCTTTCAAGGTGTTTTATTTTTTTTTCTTTTAAGCATGTTTACTGGGATGTTTCTGAGTAGAGATTTCTTTATCCTACTTGGAGTTTATTGAAATTCTTAAAGCATAGATAATGTTTTTTTCAAATTTAGGAAAGTTTTCAACCATTATTTTAAAAAATGTTTGTATTCCTTTCTTTCCTTTTCTTCTATTTCAATTATGTATATTCTTGTGATTAACAGTATTCCATATTTCTTTGAGATTGTTCATACTCCTTCATTCTTTTTTTCTGTTTTTTTTTTCTGTGCTATTGCAATAATCTCTGTGTTCTTCCAGCATCAGTCTCTTACACCCTCAAAATTGCTCTATTAAATGAAGACACATTAATATTTTTGAAACATTGCTTTACACTCATCACTCCCTAACTTGAAAGCTTCTCATAACTCTCCATTGTCTATACTGAAAATAAGTTTAGAGATTGCCATTGATTGGCTATTTTGTACCTCATTAACATTATTTCCCCTATTTCCCTTCACAAATCTTTTAATCTAGTCAAATTGGCCTGTCAGTAAAACCAGTTTTAATCTCAACCTCTACAGCACTTTATGCTTATCACTCATTTCATTATAGTACTTCATATTGTCATTTTTACTTATTTTTTAATACAGTGAATTTTAAGCCTCTGGAATTCAGTTGTTTAATACCCTAACACTTGGTACACTACTCTGAATGTTAGGAATAGTAAGAAATATAATTGTCGATAATGTTGTGATACACAACATGACATTTAATCATGTTTCAATTAGTGACAGTCAATAAGTATAATCAAAGCACAAAAATTCTCTCCCAAGAATAAATTGGTAGAGTTGGAAATTGAAGGAAAATGTTAACTTAACAAGTAATTATATAATTATTCTTTCCCACTGAAATCAATTGATGACTCTGATGTATATTGATTAAAAATGCTTTAATATGTACAAACAACTGCAAATATACTGTTTTGTTCAATTAATGGTTTGACAATTTAGTGAAGTGCTGGATGGAAAAGACATATAAACTAAGGGGAGTGGATCTCTCCCCTGGCTGTGTCACTTTTTTATTTCTCTCTATTCCCACATCATTACCAAAGCCAGTAATCTCCAACCATCTATTTCTCAATCTTAAGACTATTGTTCAGGGCTGGGCTTGGTGGCTCATGCCTGTAATCCCAGCACTTTGGGAGGCTGAGAACAGGTGGATCACGAGGTCAGGAGATTGAGACCATCCTGGCTAACACGGTGAAATTCTGTCTCTACTAAAAATACAAAAAATTAGCCGGGCATGGTGGCACACACCTGTAGTTCCAGCTACTCGGGAGGCTGAGGCAGGAGAATCACTTGAACCCAGGAGGCAGAGGTTGCAATGAGCCAAGATCGCACCACTGCACTCCAGCCTGGGTGACAGAGCGAGACTCTGTCTCAAAAAAAAAGACTATTGTTCAGACAAGTTCCTGAGCAAAAGTTTTCTCTTTCTAAGACATCATGATCTACATATAATGTTAGCAATTCTATTTTACATATGGCACAGTATGTATATTTTTGTACAGTGTGAATGATTATGGTCAATTTTTTATTATTTTTTTCTTCTTTAGTCAACATAGGGTAAAATAAAGAAAAGGCAATTTCAGAAAGCATGCCAAGCAGCAGATATTGATTTGTTGTTTGTTAATTCCTTGCCCTTTAAACAAGTTGAATAAAGCTATCTTGATATCCTATTTGGATATGCTTATGTTATTCTGAAGCTAATCTGAAAATTTAAAGCTATATGCATGTAAACTTCTATGTAATAGATATGTAATAGATAAACAATGTATTACATAGGTATCTATGTAATAGATAATGTATTACATAGGTATCTATGTAATAGATAAACAACTGTGGTAATACAAGAATAAATAAGGGTACTTACTGAAAATAAAAAAGAAACAAATATTGCATTTCAGAACACAAGCCAGTTTAACCAAAATGAGAAAGAATTAAACTGAAAGCATAACTAGAAAGATAAGCATGTTATGTGCAGAAGTAGCTTCATTTCTATTTCCTTCTCTTTTTGATCCTTTATTCAAAATCTTAGGGAGTCTAAACAGAATAACCCATCCCCTATAAGAAATTATCATTTTTGTTTTATGCAAAATGAATACATCATTAAAATGATTTTTAAAAATCATGAAATGTAGTATCTGTGTTCATTGTCTAATGGAAGTTTTTAAAAATGTATTTGATAGAATAATTTTAATAGTTCATTGTATGCTTTAAATAGCAAGTATTTCTCTGTATGAAAGGAGTTTGCATGTATTATAGATAAAATATTGATCCTAGTATGGATTGTCATTGTTGTCCTAGTCTGTTTCATGTTGCTGTAACAGAATACTACACACTACGCAATGTATAAACAATAGAGGTTTATTTGGCTTATGATTCTGGAGGCTGTAAAGGCCAAGATTGAGGGGCAACATCTGATGAGGGACTTCTTACTGTGTTATAACATGGTGGAAGGTATCACATGTTGAGAGATGTGCAAGAGAGGGAAGGGGGCTGATCTAATCCTTTCATCAGAAACCCACTCCCATGATAACCAACCCACTCTCACAATAACTGTATTAATTCATCCATGAGGGCAAAGCCCCCATGTCCTAATCACCTCTTAAAAGTCTCATTCTCAATACTGTTGCATTGGGGATTAAGTTTCCAACACATGAATTTTGGGGGACACATTCAAACCATAGCAATAGTAATACATTTCATTATGTAGATAAGTATGTATGTGTGGTCTTCAATTCTAAACTTATTTTGTCTTCAAACTTTAATAATTAAAATAACTCCACATGAAATTAGATTTATGTGTGAAGGATGTAAAGTGATAAAAGTTATATAATTTTACAGGTAATTTTATGAATTATATAGCAGACAATTATTGCAACTCTAAAGATTGTTTACAAATTCAACAAAAATATTGGGATTCATAGATATAAGTTTATCCTATTATGACAAACATAGAATTAACATTATTATTCCTTTATCTTTAAATTCCCTTAGTCAAATTTTTTAATTCTTACAGATGAATATAATTTAAATTAGATTCAATTAAATATTTTTTTTCTTTAGGAAAAAGTCAAAGAGAAGGAAGAAAATCTGAATCTTGTAAACCAATTCTTAAAGTAGAATACAAGACCTGCAAAAACAGGTATGCATTTTTACTTTAGGGAAAGAGGGATACGAAGCAGAGACAAAAAATGCAGATGACCTTTAATGTTAAGATATTGTTTAAAGTTTTACAAAATTGTAAAGACAACTGAATCCTCAATATTAACATAATTGACTTGTCTCATAGACATATCTCTGATGATTATTATTATGATTATTATAAATTACAAGTGTTAATTATTTCAGGATTCTTAATGAACATTTAGACAAGTATTATACACATTAATTTTAACAGTAAAGGACTTCTGGCCATGCATATTACAAGTAGCAGGATTTATTAAGCAGAAGCAATGTGCCCGTTAATATTGCATGTGAAAGACTTAAATACATAACCAAGTGTCTATACTTTAAGATCTTACATTCTGAAGTTGGAAGATTACAGTTTGTTCGAAAGATAAAGTTGTGTATATTAATGTAATAAAAAGTACTAAATTTTAAGGTGTTGAAAAATACAAAAATAATAATATTTAGTAAAATATTATTTTGTGTTTAAAGTAGCTATATCCGGCTGGGTGCCCTGCCTCACGCCTGTAACCCCAGCACTTTGGGAGGCTAAGGCGGGTGGATCACCTGAGGTCAGGAGATCGAGACCAGCCTGGGCAACATGGCAAAACCCTGCCTCTGCTAGAAATACACAAAAAAATTAGCTGGGCATGGTGGCATGTGCCTGTAATCCCAGCTACTTGGGAGGCTGAGGCACAAGAATCCTTTGAGCCCAGGAGGTGGAGGTTGCAGTGAGCCAAGATGCTGCCACTGCCCTTCAACCTGTGCAACAGAGCGAGACTCTGTCTCAAAAAGAAAAAAAAGTAGCCATATCCTATAAATCAACAAGTTCCTTTTACTTGGCAATAATAATTAGTGGCAATACACTCATTGAGAATTACCATAATAAATCTTGCCTAAACATTAAATTTATTTTAATTCAAATTAAATAATCCTAGTTTATATTAATAATATGAACATTTTATAATGTTTTCTTGGTATCATAGGTATACTGAATGTTTGTTTATAACTGCTCTTTTAAAATTTTAATAGTACAAAATTATGCTCATTTTTAACCTGTTATTTTATCTATATATAGATATCTCTTTAGCCTACTATGCATTCACTGATAAAAATGAACACTGTTTGAACAGAGCCCTCAGAAATAACACCACACATCTACAACTATCTGATCTTTGACAAACCTGACAAAAACAAGAAATGGGGAAAGGATTCCCTATTTAATAAATGGTGCTGGGAAAACTGGCTAGCCATATGTAGAAACCTGAAACTGGATCCCTTACTTACACCTTATACAAAAATTAATTCACGGTGGATTAAAGACTTAAATGTTAGACCTAAAACCATAAAAACCCTAGAAGAAAACCTAGGCGATACCATGTAGGACATAGACGTGGGCAAGGACTTCATGTCTAAAACACCAAAAGCAATGGCAATAAAAGCCAAAATTGACAAATGGGATCTAATTAAACTAGAGAGCTTCTGTCTGGTGAAAGAAACTACCATCATAGTGAACAGGCAACCTACAGAATGAGAGAAAATTTTTGCAATCTACTCATCTGACAAAGGGCTAATATCCAGAATCTACAATGAACTCAAACAAATTTACAAGAAAAAATCAAACAACCCCATCAAAAAGTGGGTGAAGGACATGAACAGACATTTCTCAAAAGAAGACATTTATACAGCCAACAGACACATGAAAAAATGCTCATCATCACTGGCCATCAGAGAAATGCAAATCAAAACCACAGTGAGATACCATCTCACACCAGTTAGAATGGCGATCATTAAAAAGTCAGGAAAAAGCAGGTACTGGAGAGGATGTGGAGAAATAGGAACACTTTTACACTGTTGGTGGGACTGTAAACTAGTTCAACCATTGTGGAAGACAGTGTGGCGATTCCTCAGGGATCTAGTACTAGAAATACCATTTGACCCAGCCATCCCCTTACTGGGTATATACCCAAAGGATTATAAATCATGCTGCTATAAAGACACATGCACATGTATGTTTATTGCAGCACTATTCACAATAGTAAAGACTTGGAACCAACCCAAATGTCCATCAGTGATAGACTGGATTAAGAAAATGTGGCACATATACACCATGGAATACTATGCAGTCATAAAAAAGGATGAGTTCATGTCCTTTGTAGGGACATGGATGAAGCTGGAAACCATCATTCTCAGCAGACTATCCCAAGGGCAGAAAACCAAACACCACATGTTCTCACTCATAGGTGGGAACTGAACAATGAGAACACTTGGACCCAGGAAGGGGAACATCACACACCGGGGCCTGTCATGGGGTGGGGGGAGGGGGGAAGGATAGTATTAGGAGATATATCTAATGTAAATGAGGAGTTAATGGGTGCAGCACACCAACATGGTGCATGTATACATATGTAACAAACCTGGATGTTGTGCACAAGTACCCTAGAACTTAAAGTGTAATAGTAAAAAAATACTAATAACAAAAAAACCCACTGTTTTATACCATTATAACTAAAGTATTAGAAAGTTTCAAATTTAATCATTATTAATGGAAATATGAAATATATGACATATATTTTGCCTCTTGAAATATTACTTATAGTTTAAGCTTTGCTTGAGTTTTCAGGTTCAACATTATTTACAATATTTCTTATGTGGTATTGCACTTCAAGGATTATTAAGGTGCAGGACACTATATTAACTGTTCCTAGCAGCTTGTGGTATTATTTTATGGGTTTTTTTCACATTATATATAGTTTATTATACTTTAAGTTTTGGAATACATGTGTAAAAAGTGCAGGTTTGTTACATAGTTATACACGTGCCATGGTGGTTTGCTGCACCCATCATCTACATTAGGTATTTCTCCTAATGCTATCCCTCCCCTAGCCTCCCAACCCCCACAACCCCCAACAGGCCACGGTGTGTGATGTTCCCCTCCCTATGTCCATGTATTCTCATTGTTCGATTCCCAATTATGAGTGAGAATATGCAGTGTTTGGTTTTCTGTTCCGGTGTTAGTTTGCTGAGAATGATGGTTTCCAGCTTCATCCATGTCCCTGCAAAGGACATGAACTTGTCTTTTTTAATAGCTGCACAGTATTATTCCATGGTGTATATGTGCTACATTTTCGTTATCCAATCTATCATTGATGGGCATTTGGGTTGGTTCCAAGTCTTTGCTATAGTGAATAGTGCTGAAGTAAACATACATGTGCATGTGTCTTTATAGTAGAATGATTTATAATCCTTTGGATACATAACCAGAAATGGGATTGCTCGGTCAAATGGTATTTCTGGTTCTAGATCCTTGAGGAATCGCCACAATGTCTTCCACAATGGTGGAACTAATTTACACTCCCAACAACACTGTAAAAGCATTCCTATTTTTTTATGTTTTTTTATTTTTTATTTTTATTTTATTATTATACTTTAAGTTCTAGGGTACATGTGCACAACGTGCAGGTTTGTTACATATGTATACATGTGCCATGTTGGTGTGCTGCACCCATTAACTCATCATTTACATTAGGTATATCTCCTAATGCTATCCATCCCCTCTCCCCCCACCCCATGACAGGCCCCAGTGTGTGATGTTCCCCTTCCTGTTTCCAAGTGTTCTCATTGTTCAATTCCCACCTATGAATGAGAACATGCAGTGTTTGGTTTTTTGTCCTTGTGATAGTTTGCTGAGAATGATGGTTTCCAGCTTCATCCATGTCCCTACAAAGGACGTGAACTCATCCTTTTTCATGGCTGCATAGTATTCCATGGTGTATATGTGCCACATTTTCTTAATCCAGTCTATCACTGATGGACATTTGGGTTGGCTCCAAGTCTTTGCTATTGTGAATAGTGCTGCAATAAACATAACGTGTGCATGTGTCTTTATAGCAGCATGATTTATAATCCTTTGGGTATATACCCAATAATGGGATGGCTGGGTCAAATGGTATTTCTAGTTCTAGCTCCTTGAGGACTCACCACACTGTCTTCCACAATGGTTGAACTAGTTTACAGTCCCACCAACAGTGTAAAAGTGTTCCTATTTCTCCACATCCTCTCCAGCACCTGTTGTTTCCTGACTTTTTAATGATCGCCATTCTAACTGGTGTGAGATGGTATCTCATTGTGGTTTTGATTTGCATTTCTCTGATGGCCAGTGATGATGAGCATTTTTTCATGTGTCTTTTGGCTGCATAAATGTCTTCTTTTGAGAAGTGTCTGTTCATACCCTTTGCCCATTTTTTGATGGAGTTGTTTGTTTTTTTCTTGTAAATTTAAGTTCATTGTAGATTCTGGATATTAGCCCTTTGTCAGATGAGTAGATTGCAAAAATTTTCTCCCATTCTGTAGGTTGCCTGTTCACTCTGATGGTCGTTTCTTTTGCTGTGCAGAAGCTCTTTAGTTTAATTAGATCCCATTTGTCAGTTTTGGCTTTTGTTGCCATTGCTTTTGGTGTTTTAGACATGAAGTCCTTGCCCCTGCCTATGTCCTGCATGGTATTGCCTAGGTTTTCTTCTAGGGTTTTTATGGTTTTAGGTCTAACATTTAAGTCTTTAATCCATCTTGAATTAATTTTTGTATAAGGTGTGAGTAAGGGATCCAGTTTCAGGTTTCTACATATGGCTAGCCAGTTTTCCCAGCACCATTTATTAAATAGGGAATCCTTTCCCCATTTCTTGTTTTTGTCAGGTTTGTCAAAGATCAGATAGTTGTAGATGTGTGGTATTATTTCTGAGGCCTCTGTTCTGTTCCATTAGTCTATATCTCTGTTTTGGTACTAGTACCATGCTGTTTTGGTTACTGTAGCCTTGTAGTATAGTTTGAAGTCAAGTAGTGTGATGCCTCCAGCTTTGTTCTTTTGGCTTAGGATTGTCTTGGCAATACGGGACCTTTTTTGGTTCCATATGAACTTTAAAGTAGTTTTTTTCAATTCTGTGAAGAAAGTCATTGGTAGCTTGATGGGGATGGCATTGAATCTATAAATTACATTGGGCAGTATTGCCATTTTCACAATATTGATTCTTCCTACCCATGTGCATGGAATGTTCTTCCATTTGTTTGTGTCCTCTTTTATTTTGTTGAACAGTGGTTTGAAGTTCTCCTTGAAGAGGTCCTTGACATCCCTTGTAAGTTGGATTGCTAAGTATTTTATTCTCTTTGTAGCAATTGTGAATGTGAGTTTACTCACGATTTGGCTCTCTGTCTGTTATTGGTGTATAGGAATTCTTGTGATTTTTGAACGTTGATTTTTTATCCTGAGACTTTGCTGATGTTGCTTATCAGCTTAAGGAGATTTTGGGCTGAGACGATGGGGTTTTCTAAATATACAATCATGTCATCTGTAAACAGGGACAATTTGACTTCCTCTTTTCCCAATTGAAAACCCTTTCTTTCTTTCTCCTGCCTGATTGCCCTGGTCAGAACCTCCAACACTATGTTGAATAGGAGTGGTGAGAGAGGGCATCCCTGTCTTGTGCCAGTTTTCAAAGAAGCATTCCTATTTTTTCTACATCTTCTCCAGCATCTCTTATTTCCTGACTTTTTTTCTTTCTTTTTTTTTTTTTTTTTTTGAGACAGAGTCTCGCTCTGTCACCAGGCTGGAGTGCAGTGGCGTGATCTCAGCACACTGCAACCTCTGCCTCCGGGGTTCAAGCGATTCTCCTGCCCCAGCGTCCTGAGTAACTGTGACTACAGGCATGTGCCACCATTCCCAGCTAATTTTTGTATTTACTTTAGAAGAGACAGGGTTACACCATGTTGGCCAGGATGGTCTCCATCTCTTGACCTCGTGATCCGACCGCCTCAGCCTCCCAAACTGCTGGGATTACAGGAGTGAGCCAACATGCTGGCCTGTTTCCTGACTTTTTAAGGATCGCCATTCTAACTGGCATGAGATTGTATCTCATTGGGGTTTTGATTTGCATTTCTCTAATGACCAGTGTTGATGAGCTTTTTTTCATGTTTTTTGGCCGCATAAATGTCTTCTTTTGAGAAGTGTCTATTCATATACTTCGCCAACTTTTAGATGAGGTTGTTTGTTGTTTTCTTGTAAATTTGCTTACGTTCCTTGTAGATTTTGGATATTAGCCCTTTGTCAGATGGATAGATTGCAAAAATATCCTCCCATTCTGTAGGTTGCCTGTTCACTCTCATGATAGTTTCTTTTGCTGTACAGAAGATCTTTACTTTAATTAGATCCCATTTGTTAATTTTGCCTTTTGTTGCCATTGCTTTTAGTATTTTAGTTATGAAGTGTTTGCCCATGCCTACATCCTGAATGATATTGCCTAGGTTTTCTTCTAGGGTTTTATGGTTTTAGGTCTTAAGTTTAAGTCTTTAATCCATCTTGTGCTAATTTTTATATAAGGTATAAGGAAGGGGTCCAGTTTCAGTTTTTTGCATATGGCTAACCAGTTTTCCCACCACCATTTATTAAATGGGGAATCCTTTCCCCATTGCTTGTTTTTGTCAGGTTCATCAAAGATCAGATGGTTGTAGATGGGTGGAGTTATTTCTGAGGACTCGGTTCTGTTCCATTGGTCTGTATATCTGTTTTGATACCAGAAGCATGCTGTTTTCGTTACTATAGCCTTGCAGTATAGTTTGAAGTCAGGTAGCATGATGCCTCCAGCTTTGTTCTTTTTGCTTAGCATTGTCTTGGCTATACAGGCTCTTTTTTGCTTCCATATGAAATTTAAAGTAGCTTTTTCTAATTCTGTGAAGAAAGTCAATGGTAGCTTGAGGGGGATAGCATTGAATCTATAAAGTATTTTGAGCAGTGTGGCCATTTTCGTGATATTGATTCTTCCTATCCATTAGCATGGAATGCTTTTCCATTTGTTTGTATTCTCTCTTATTTCCTTGAGCAGTGGTTTGTAGTTCTCCTTGAAGAGGTCCTTCATGTCCCTTGTAAATTGTATTCCTAGGTATTTTATTCTCTTTGTAGCAATTGTGAATGTAAGTTCACTCACGATTTGGCTCTCTGTCTGTTATTGGTGTATAGGAATTCTTGTGATTTTTGCAAATTAGTTTTGTATCCTGAGACTTTGCTGAAGTTGCTTATCAGCTTAAGGAGATTTTGGGCTGAGACAATGGGGTTTTCTAAATATGCAATCATGTCATCTGCAAACAGAGACAATTTGAATTCCTCCCTTTCTATTTGAATACCCTTTATTTCTTTCTCTTGCCTGATTGCCCTGGCCAAAACTTCCAATACTATGTTGAATAGGAGTGGTGAGAGACCTCATCCTTATCTTGTGCCTGTTTTCAAAGGGAATGCTTCCAGCTTTTGCCCATTGAGTATGATATTGGCTGTGGGTTTCTCATAAATAGCTCTTATTATTTTGAAATATGTTTCAATACCTAGTTTATTGAGAGTTTTTAGCATGAAGGGGTGTTGAATTTTATCAAAGGCCTTTTCTACATCTATTGAGATAATCATGAGGTTTTTGTCATTAGTTAGTTCTATTTATGTGATGGATTACGTTTATTGATTTGCATACATTGAATCAACCTTGCATCCCAGGTATGAAGCCAACTTGATCGTGGTGGATAAGTTTTTTGATGTGCTGTTGTGTTCGGTTTGCCAGTATTTTATTGAGGATTTTTGCATTGATGTTCATCAGGGATATTGGCCTGAAATTTTGTTGTTGTTGTTGTGTCTCTGCCAGGTTTTGGTATCAGGATGACCCTGGCCTCATAAAAAGAGTTAGGGAGGAGTCTCTCTTTTTCTATTGTTTGGAATAGTTTCAGAAGGAATGGTACCAACTCCTCTTTGTACCTCTGGTAGAATTCGGCTGTAAATCCATGTGGTCCTGGGCTTTTTTGGGTTGGTAGGCTATTAATTACTGCCTCAATTTTAGAACTTATTTGTTCAGGGATTTGAGTTTTTCCTGGGTTAGTCTTGGGAGGGTATATGTGGTTAGGAATTTATCCATTTCTTCTAGATTTTCTAATTTATTTGCATAGAGGTGCTTATAGTATTCTCTGATGGTAGTTTGTATTTCTGTGGGATCAGTGATGATATCCCCTTTATCACTTTTTATTGTGTCTATTTGATTCATCTCATTTTTCTTATTTATTAGGCTGGCTAGTTGTCTATGTATTTTGTTAATCTTTTCAAAAACCCGCACCTGGATTCATTGATTTTTTTTGAAGGGTTTTTCATGTCTCTATCTCCTTCAGTTGCACTGTGATCTTAGTTATTTCTTGTCTTCTGCTAGCTTTTGAATATGTTTGCTCTTGCTTCTCTAGTTCTTTTAACTGTGATGTTAGGGTGTCAATTTTAGATCTTTCTTGCTTTCTCCTGTGGGCATTTAGTGCTATAAATTTCTCTCTAAACACTGATTTAGCTGTGTCCCAGAGATTCTGGTACATTGTGTCTTTGTTCTCATTGGTTTCAAGGAAATTATTTATTTCTGCCTTAATTTCATTATTTACCCAGTTGTCATTCAGGAGAAGGTTGATCAGTTTCCATGTTGTTTTGTGGTTTTGAGTGAGTTTCTCAATCCTGAGTTCTAATTTGATTGCACTGTGGTCTGAAAGACTGTTATGATTTTTGTTCTTTTGCATTTGCTGGGGAATGTTTTACTTCCAATTATGTCATCAATTTTAGAATAAGTTCATTGTGGCACTGAGAAGAATGTATATTCTGTTGATTTGTGGTGCAGAGTTCTGTAGATGTCTATTAGGTCCACTTGGTCCAGAGCTGAGTTCAAGTCCTGAATAGCCTTGTTAATTTTTTGTCTCATTGACCTGTCTAATATTGACAGTGGGGAGTTAAAGTCTCCCACTATTATTGTGTGGGAGTCTAAGTTTTTTTTTGTTGGTCTCTAAGAACTTACTTTATGAATCTGGGTGCTCCTGTATTGGTTGCATATATATTTAGGATAGTTACCTCTTCTTCTTGCATTGATCCCTTTACCATTATGTAATGCCCTTGTTTGTCTTTTTTGATCTTTGTTTAAGACTGTTTTATCAGAGATTAGGATTGCAACCCCTGCTTTTTTTTTTCTTTCCATTTGCTTGGTAAACAGTTCTCCATCCTTTTATTGTTAGCCTATGTGTGTCTTTGCACATAAGATGGGTCTCCGTAATACAGCACACTGATGGGTCTTGACTCTTTATCCAATTTGCCAGTCTGCGTCTTTTAACTGGGGCATTTAGCCCACTTACATTTAAGGTTAATATTGTTATGTGTAAATTTGATCCTGTCATTATGACACTAGCTGGTTATTTTGCCCATTAGTTGTTGCAGTTTCTTCATAGTGTCTATGGTCTTTACAATATGGTATGTTTTTGCAATGGCTAGTACCAGTTTTTTGTTTCCAAATTTAGTACTTTCATCAGGAGCTCTTGTAAGGCAGGCCTTGTGGTGGCAAAATCTCTCAGCATTTGCTTGTCTGTAAAGGATTTTATTTCCCCTTCACTTATGAAGCTTAGTTTGGCTGGATATGAAATTCTGGTTTGAAAATTCTTTTCTTTAATAGTGTTGAATATTGGCCCCAACTTTTTTATGGCTTGTAGGGTTTCTGCAGAGAGAACTGGTTTAGTCTGATGGGCTTCCCTTTGTAGGTAACCCGACCTTTCTCTCTGGCTGCCCTTAACATTTTTTCCTTCATCTCAACTTTAGTGAATCTGACGATTATGTGTCTTGAGGTTGCTCTTCTCTAGGAGTATCTTTATGATATTCTCTTTATTTTCTGAATTTGAATGTTGGCTTGTCTTGCTAGGTTGGGGAAGTTCTCCTGGATAATATCCTGAAGAGTGTTTTCCAACTCTGTTCCATTCTCCCTGTCACTTTCAAGTACACCAATCAAACATAGGTTTGGTCTTTTCACATAGTTACATATTTCTTGGAGGCTTTGTTCATTCCTTTTCATTCTTTTTTCTCTAATGTTTTCTTCATGCTTTATTTCATTAAGTTGATATTCAATCTCTGATATCCTTTCTTTCACTTATCAATTTGGCTATTGATACTTGTGTATGCTTCATGTGCTATGTTTTTCAGCTCCAAGGTCATTTATCTTCTTCTCTAAACTGGTTATTCTAGTTAGTAGTTCCTCTAACCTTTTTTCAAGGTTCTTAGCTTCCTTGCATTGGGTTAGAACATGCTCCTTTAGCTCAGAGGATTTTGTTATTACCCACCTCTGAAGCCTACATCTTTCAATTCATCAAACTCATTCTCCATCCAGTTTTGTTCCCTTGCTGGTGAGGAGTTGTGATCCTTTGGAGGAGAGGCTTTCTGGTTTTTGGAAGTTTCAGCCTTTTTATACTTTTTTGTCTCATCTTCATGGATTTATTTACCTTTGGTCTTGGTGACCTTCGGATGGGGTTTTTGTGTGGATGTCCTTTTTGTTGATGTTGATGCTATTCCTTTCTGTTTGTCAGTTTTCCTTCTAACAGTCAGGCCCCTCTGCTGCAGTTTTGCTAGAGTTTGCTGAAGGTTCACTCCAGACCCTCTTTGCCTGGTTATCACCACGGGAGTCTGCAGAACAGGAAAGATTGCTGCCTGTTCCTTCCTCTGGAAGCTTCGTCTTAGAGGGACACCCACCAGATGCCAGCTGGAGCTCTCCTGTATGTGGTGTCTGTCGATCACTGCTGGGTTGTGTCTCCCAATCAGGAGGCATGGGTGTCAAGGGCCCACTTGAAGAGGCTGTCTGTCCCTTAGCAGAGCTCGAGCACTGTGCTGGGAGATCTGCTGCTCTCTTCAGAGTCAGCAGGCAGGAATGTTTAAGTCGGCTTAAGCTGCGCCCACAGCCACCCCTCCGCCAGGTGCTCTGTCCAAGGGAGATGGGAGTTTTATCTATAAGCCCTGACTGGGGCTGCTGCCTGTCTTTCAGAGATGCCCTGCCCAGAGAGGAGGAATCTAGGGAAGCCCTCTGGCTACAGCCTCTTTGTGGAGCTGTGGTGGGCTCTGTCCAGGTCGAACTTCCTGGTGGCTTTGTTTATACTGTCAGGGCAATACCACCTACTCAAGCCTCAGTAATGGTGACGCCCCTCCCCCAACCAAGCTGGCACTTCCCAGATCGACCTCAGACTGCCGTGCTGGCAGCGAGAATTTCAAACCAGTGGATCTTAGCTTGCTATGCTCTGTGGGGTTGGGATCCACTGAGCTAGACCACTTGGCTCCCTGGCTTCAGCCCCCTTTCCTGGGAAGTGAATGGTTCTGTCTTGCTGGCATTCCAGGTGCCAGCGAGGTATGAAAAGAAACTCCTTCAGCTAGCTCGGTGTCTGCCCAAATGGCTTCCCAGTTTTGCATTTTAAACCCAGGGCCCTGATGACGTAGGCACTGGAGGGAATCTCCTTGTCTGCGGGTTGCGAAGACCATGGGAAAAGCGTGGTATATGGGCCAGAATGCACTGTTCCTCACAGCACAGTCCCTCATGGCTTCCCTTGGCTAGGGGAGGAAGTTCTTCAACCCCTTGCACTTCCCGGGTGAGGTGATGCCCCACCCTGCTTCTGCTCACCCTCCGTGGTCTGCACCCACTGTCTAATCATTCCCAGTTCCATGAGCTGGGTACCTCCATTGGAAATGCAGAAATCACTTCCTTCTGTGTTGATGTCGCTGGGAGCTGCAGACCAGAGCTGTTCCTATTTGGCCATCTTGCTAGCCCAGATTCCGCTTCACTTTCATATATTTTTAAAAATCTTTTCTCTTTCCTTCAGTTTTGAGCCATGAGGATTTCTTATAATCTTTATTGTGTTATCTACTAGTATCCAATCTTTGATTTTCTGTAGACTAAGAAACTTGAAAGCCAAACTTGTAAAATGAGAGCAAATAGATCCATATAATGCCTGAGAGGTTCTTCCATGACAATGTATACATGCCTGGACTTTATGACGTCTATTTTATTGCTTGGAGGTCTTTACAATTTGTATTTCTGTTGGATTCTCAACAGTATTCAGCTTAATTCAGTTAAAACAACATTTAGTAGTTACTACTATAGTTTAGTAGCTATTACTATATAATATATAGTATAATATATATACTATAGTATAATATACTATATAATATACTATATATAATATATATACACTATATACAGTATATAATATAATATATAGTATAATATATAATATACTATATAGTATAATATAATATGTAGTATAATGTAATGTAATATATAGTAATAATATACTATACTATATATAGTATGATATAGTATATATATTACTATATACTATACATAGTATAATATAGTATATATATTACTATATACTATACATAGTATAATATAGTATATATATTACTATATACTATACATAGTATAATATAGTATATATATTACTATATACTACTAGCTTATATATAATATACTATATATGCTAGTATAATATACTATATAATATATAGTATATAGTATTATTTAGTAGTTATTACTATATTACTAAACAAATGCGATTTGTTTGATGTTCTGAAATAAGATTACTGCTTGCTTTTGAATTTGTTATATTCTAGCAGTAGAGGCAAGGACATAAACTAGTGATTTCCATACAACATGGAAGTTACTTTTATAGAGATATGCTATGGGAGCACACAAAAAGAGCACCTAACCCAGCCTTGAAGGGAGTAGGGAGGAGAACCATGAAGAGAGAAATCAGGAAAATTCTTTGGCAAGGAGATGCCTGAGATGGGACTTTAAGGATGATCAGATGTTGCCAAGCAAAGGGAGGAAGAGATGAAAGTGAAGAGAACATATTTTTAGAAATCAAAAACTCAAGTTAAGGCAGTGTAAAGTAATAATTAAAATCATTGGCTTTGAAGTAAGACAGTTGTGTGACCTTGCAAAGTTTAATTAACTCTCTTAAAGTTTAGTTTCCTTATCAACAATACCTGTCTCACTATGATATTCATGAGAATTAAATGAAATAATGGATACAGCCTGTAATGTCGTCAGTTTGATGAAGACACATAGTGGGTTTCTTAGTAGTTACTATTATTATTGACATCATTATTTCATGTAGTTAAAATTATTCAAGTATTCTTAATTTTTTGCTAGTCAATAATACAACTATGTGTAAATTAATCTTCATATTTGTAATGTGAAACAATCATATTATTGATGATAATTACTGTCATCCCACCTACTTGTGTACATTAGTACATTGCTTCTGTTTTTTGTGATTACTACTTTATTACCTCTGGAGCTTAGCACACAAGGAGGTTAAAAAGCAGAGGGGCAGTGAGGTTAAGAATACTAAAATTTATTGCCACAGCAAAATGGGCCACAGTTAGGAAGTGGAATTATATAGCTATATCCCTGCTCCAACTATTACACGGCAGAAACTGTACAGTTATAAGTCAGGATGGCTGTCACAGAAACAGGAACCTTAGGAAGAGCTCTACCATATAAGCTGCAGCAGTAGGGTCTCTTACTGGACTGCATAGGTAGCACATGTAAGGGATGTGTTTTCTTCTCGGTTTTATGTCAGACCAGCCAATCGCAGACTTGCTTTACATTTCCAGAGATAAACAGCTATGTATATGGGAATCATTTATCCCCAATCACCAATTTGCTTACTGACACTCCAACTAAGATGGCCTCTAGGCTTAATAATTTTATCCTCTTCAAGATAGGAATATTGATTTATATACTGACTACCACTAGAATTATTAGGTGCTCTTAAGCTAAAGAAAATTATTTTCTGCTAATCTTTTAATCTGTTCCTATTACGGCAGCCTACTGATAGGCTTTATGTATAATTAAGTTCTCCAAGCCTCAATATACCCATCTGTTAAATGGAGATAATAATAGTAGTTATCTCATTGGGATGTTATAAGGATTAAATAAAAGAATGCATGTAAAATTCTGCATGCGATGCCTAGAATATCATAAATACTCAATATATGTTAGCATTTAATATTTATTATGTTACACAACTTGTTTAATCTTGTTGCCTTCATTGGAACAAACTTTTAATGCTGTTTTCTGTATGTATTTTACAAATTATACATACAGTAAAATTAACTATTTTTCTTTTGGTGTACAGTTTCATGTTTTAAACACATGTATGATTTCTAAAACTATCACCACAATAAAAATAAAGAATATTTCCATCATTTCCCACAACTCTCACTTTCTGTCCCTTTATAGTCACTCCTCTCCCCAACTCCTAACCCTTGGCAACCACTGATTTGTTCTCCATCACTATAGTTTTGCCTTTTGGAGACTGTTACATATAAGTGGTTATATATTATGTAACCTTTTAAGCCTAGCTTCTTTCACTCAGCAGAATGCCTTTGAGATTCATCCAAGTTATGTATCCATAATTTGTTATTTTTTATTAATGCTTTCTTTAAGTATGAGGACATTTCAAGTATATGGTCATTTATTTCTTTTATAAGAATCCATCTGATAGGTATCCCTTAATAGAATCTTTGTATTAAATAACACCTGACACAGTTTAGGCTGGTACAACATTTAGTGTGGTACAGCATTATCAAACAACTGTGTTCCTTTAATCACTAATGATATTCATGCAATAAAAAGGATCTGTAATCTAATAAATGTGAGAAATTTTGAATTCTATAAAAGTAAATTGGATTGCTTGCCATATGATTTCTCAGAATTTTTAACATATGCTATGAAATGCAAAATTCCTGAAAGGAGATATGGTTTTGCAAGTGCAAATTATCAAATTATCAAAATTAATTTTTTTCTGCTCGACAACTACCAAGTTGTATTCCACAGTTTGGGAAACATTAAACTAAAAATGAAAAATGTGGGCTTTTGAGTCTGGGTTTGAATCTTTGTCCTGGTACTCACTAGCTGCTTGACCCTGGACAAGTTTAATCTGCATTAATCCCAGATTATTCATGTATAAAATGGGACTAATAGTACTTTCTTCATCAAGGTTGTTGTGAGGATTACACAAAATTTACTTTATATATACACATAGCACAATATATGCCACATGGTAAGCACTCAGTAAATGGTAGCTATTTATTACTAGAGGCAATATATAGGAGTGTTTAGAATCATAGGCTTTGGAGTCTGGTAGATCTCAATTTTCTTTTGGTTGTTGCTTCTTAGCTGTTATTTAACCTCATTAATAAAATGAGGACATTGCTTATGAGGATTAAAGATGATAATTAAATATTTAGTACAGTTAACCATGAGTGGTTCCCTGAGCACTTTCCTGAGGAAATAACTTTTTATTCAGTCACTCAGTAGTTTATAGAGAAATGCATATATATTAACAACTAACTTCAGACCCAGAGTATTCTGATGCAGAGTCGTAATTAGAGCAGAAGAGGTTTTACTTCCTTTCAATATTAGAGAGGACATATTTCCAATGTATATACAAAAAAGCAGGGGGGGTAAATTGCTCCTTATCCTATGCTTGGATTAGTATTAGGGGATGAGAGTAAATTCACCTACTTTTACACAGGAAAAAAATAGATACGTATGGCCTTTATTAATATTAATAGTAGGTAGTTAAGCTTAATATTATTATTAATATTATGAAAAGATACTACATTCTCTTAAGTCGTGGCCTTTTTTTGCAAAACAGAGCAAAAAACAAAGGTAAAAACCCCCACACTATTTCATAAATAACTATATTAGAAATGCTTTTTAAATCTGGATAAATCTTATTAATAATATAAATATACATTTTATAGAAATAACAAATGTGCTTTTTAATGGCACCATTAGTAGGTTGGTCATTTACCATATCAAATCACTGGTGCAAGACTATTACTCAAATCAACTGAAGTAAAATAAGTTAGAGTATTTTTGTTTATTTTGCTTATAACTCAAATATTTATGTCAGAATACTGATAGAATTATAAATAGAAAATAATACACACATTTTATATGTATGTTTGTATAGAAGCTTTGTTAAAAAAAAAACCCTTTTTGGTTATATAGCCAGCATAAGATTAGTAAATGTCCCACTGATAATGTTTGGCGCCACACACAGTACAAAACGGAAGAGAAAAGGAAATCTTACAGAGCGATTTCTAGAAACAAGTAGATTCTTCAGCTTAGCAAATAGGATGTAAGTGAATTATGTAGATGAGCATTATATTCTCAAATAATTTGATACAATAAAAGCCTCTAGGTCTTTAAAAAAATTAGAAAAGAATATTTTCAATTTGGTATTTACTTCTTACTTCTTGAAAATATTTTTTGCTAACACACTTTTTCTTTTGTACACATACACTAGAGATATGTAAGTATTGATTTGAGAAATGAAAAATGAAAAACTGTGAAATGACTTCATAATTTTCAGATAGCTATAATGTTTTAGAGGAATCTTAACCCCACTCTATTATCTAATTATATCTTATAAAGCAACAGACCAAAAATCTTGTTTAAAGTTAGTTGAGCAAGATATATGGAGTTTATACTGATCTATAGACTGGCCACAAGTAAAATAGAAAAGGCAATTTATCTTTGATTAGCTATCCTTCTCTTACATATTAGCTTTCTCCATCTTTTTATCTTTACTCTTTTTTCACAGAAACTCCATTATCTAGAATTCTTATTTTACCCTCTGCCATTCTGAGCTTTCCACTGTCACATTTCATTTTATATTAAAATTTGTCTCTTTTCTCTTGTACAGATTTTAGGCCCCATAGGCCAGCTAATTAATCTGATATTCTGACATAGACTAATATTCCAATGATAGTGATTTAGAGTTTGGGAACCAAGTAAAGTACGTGAAGATGTCCTTTTGAGAGTCAGTGAGCACATCTACCTTCCTCCAAGCTCACTGCCTTTCCCCAAACCTACCCCAATATGTTTAGACTGGTCCATTAGTAAATTTAATGTGAGAATGTACATCTAGAAAGTGGGAAATGGTAGAATAGTAGGTTATTGAATGAGAAATTTTGAGCCGGGCAAGTTTTTTGCTGTCTGTCATGTTATATGGTATGCAACAAAACCTGTTCTTTATAGGTTCAGTCCTGTGACTTTGTGTCATTTTAAAGGACTTCTGAGTCTCATTCATGTTTTTTCCTATGTAGCGAACCATTCATAATATTCTCTGGTGGGCTGTCCTATGACAAAGCTTGTAGAAGACCAAGTTTAACCATCATGCATGGAAAAGCAATTACAGTACTTGAAATGGATCATCCTATTGTTGAATTTCTAACTTTATGTGAAACGCCCTATCCAAATGGTAAGTAACTAAAATGAAACTATTAATGTTGAAAATCATTTTGGAAATGACAAGTTTCTAACAAAATTAAGGTTAAATATTTTCAGATGTCTACTGTGGTATAACGCTGTGAGCTACAAGTGCTGGAACAGGTTCTGCAACTGTACCTACTTGAGAAACTGGAAATAACACAGATGTAGTACAGCAATGCTGGCATTTCAGGTTCTAATATCAGGTAAGTGCTTTAAACTTTGATTAGATGGTGGAAGCTGAGCTGGGAGGGTCTGATAAGGGTCCAGGGTGAAATCACTTGGGGAAGCTGAGGTCTCTTAATAGCCTCTCTCAGACCAGCTCCATCAATTCCATCCCAAAGCCAATCAAAGTTAAAGCACTTACCTGATATCAGTAATCTGTAACTGTGGTGGTGCTGCATCTGTTTCACATCTGGCTTTGCTTCAGATGCAACTGCAGCACCTCTGATTACTCTAGTAATGCAGATGTGTGGTTAATGACTTTTTAAAATTTTGAGAATAGTCAGAAGGGACTTTGGGAGGAGAAATGCTTATATATTTTTATTATACTGAATATAAAGACTTTTTGTAAACATAACAACTAGTCTAAACTTATATGCAATCTGTATAATGAAATCTAATAATGATGAAATATTTTAATAATGTGGCCAGGTGTGGTGACTCATGCCTGTAATCCCAGCACTTTGAGAGGCCAAGGCAGGCAGATCGTTTGAGTCCAGGAGTTCAAGACTGGCCTGGGCAACATAATGAGATTCCATCTCAAACAAATAAATAGATAAATAAATAAATAAATCTAAAAAGTGAGAAAAGTGAAAACATAAAAAAGGAAATATGAGTCATGTTACAACAACATAGTATGTGTGTATACATTACTATATTTTTAAGACAGAATATGCAGATATAAGAGAAAGAGCACTGGACTTGGGGACAGAATATGTGAGGTTATGATTTAGCTCTGCCACTTACTAGCTAGGTGACCTTGGGCAAGTCACTTTACATTTATTAGTTTTATTTATCGTTTGTAGAAAGAGAATAGTAATATGGTCTCCACATGACTACTGGAAGGTTAAGTGAGCATACTTCTTAAACTATAAAAATATATATGTTGTGAGTTCCACTATTATATGTATTAACTTACTTTAAATTATTTAGTCTCACATTTAAAAGATGGGATAAATTGATATTAAATAATAATCAATGTAGCACTTTATTTCCAAAGTTACTAGGACAGACAATTTACTTATGTTTTTAATTGTCAAATAATTATTGAATCATTCTATGGCCCCAGTACTACAAGAACTTGTTGAGCATACAGATAAAGTATTAAACTAATCTCTGATGTCAAATTGCATAAAATCTGGTCAGATGAGTGAGATTATTATGACTTGTTAAGTTTAAGTAATGAAAGACCTTAATTAAGTGCTGAGTTGTATGGTTCAGAGTATAAATAATGTATTAATTTTTAAGTTAAATAGTCGTGGTTTCATGCATAGTAATAGCAGTTTTTGGAAAGAGAGAAAGGTAAGTCTGATTATGAGAGAGTAGAGTTGTTTAGGGAACAGAAGAAGAGAGAAACTGTCTTACAATATTTATGAATCATCAGAATATAAGTGTTTTTTGGAGTTACAAAAATGAATAATGAAAGAATGTAGGAAGAGAGAACAGAAGACCAACAGCTGAGCTTAGGAAAATGCCTCCTATGAAAAGCCTTGAGGAAGAAGATGTGTGAGCAATAGAAATTGAGAATGTGTGGTCTGTGTGTATATAAATTTCTGCACGTTGGTAGAGATGTTAGGACAATTTCTAATAAGGTTCAATGAAGCATAAATGCAATGTAACCATTCCTATTCACTTTCAAGCCATATATAAAAATCTTTGTTTTTTAGCAATGTGGTAATGAGGATGGAACTTTTCACTTGTCAAAAGCTAGGAGATGTACTTTAACTCTATTGACAGTGCCGGAAAGGTTTCTGACCATATATCCACCTCAAGCAGAACCTAGTCCAAACCAGGACCCCAGAAACTTTCCTAATCTAGCTCCTTCATTAGAGGATTATTCTCCATGTAAATCACATCCTTGAGTACATCCCCAGCTGTAATCTCTGGGATTATCATTGGTGTTGGATTGTGCCCCAGGACTCTCGGGGCACAATTGGTAGCTCGTGGAGAGGAGGGTGAGCACTGTTAGTGAGGCCAACTCGAGAGATGAGAATTAGGGTAAAAGCCATTTCTGAGGCCAGATCTCCTGGTGAGATAACACTAATATTATTTCACCCTTTTTGGGAGAAGGAAATATGGACCTGGCAGATTTGTACAAAATTCTTTCCCAGGAGCTGTACGGAGGCCAATGGGACAAGCAGAAATGACTGCCAATGAGGAGTCCTAATTGGAAGGGGATCAGTAAAGATTAGAGACTACCACAAATGTGTTGGCTACCCTGACCACCTAGATGAATTTAGAACTCTACAAAGGAACATTGAAAGCATGCCAGGGTTAAGGAGGACTAAAGAAAGGGCCTTGGGCCATGGCAGGCTAAATGCCACACCACAAATCTTTGCCAATTGGGCTTTTATTATTCCCTTGGTCTGTTTCACCAGTCCAGAGGACTAGAGGTGGTAAGCACAATGGAGATGTTGATAAATAGGCCAAATTATACAAATGTTTTCAATAATTTGCCCTGTAAAATGAGTTCCTCGTGCATTATGAAGCCCTTGAGAGACTTCTCAGGTTGGTATAAATTTTCCAACAGGGCCTTAGCTACTGCCATGGCTATGGCCTGTTGACAATAGAAGGCTTCAATGCAATGCTAAAACATGTAAACTGTAACTAGTACATACTGATATCCTTGAGAGACAGGGAGCTGAAAAAAATATTGTTGCCGTGCCTCAAAGGGACTTTTTGGTAATGTGAAGTGGTCCATGAAGCCACGAAATGGTTTTCCAATATGGTATTGTGGATATATTTCACACAGATACTAAGGTTGTGAGCTATCCCAAGGCATGCTTGCCATCTGTATAAATAATTGGCTGTTTTACCTTTGGCTAAAAGACATGTCTAGTAAGAGCATGCAGTTCTGCCTGTTGGACAGACCTGACATCAGGAAAGATAAGTAAAGTGGCAGAATTAAGCAAGTTATATTGGGTCATGGTAAGGGGAGGTGAGGATAGAAAAAGAACTGCATAGTTTGCTAGACTCTTTGTGATGTGAATTGAGGAGAGCCCCATTAGAGTGTGGAATACAGACAGTGAGGGGGGCCCCGTTACTATTTTCATTGTGGCTTTTACAAAAGAAGAGACAACATCAACTTCTTTGAGACAAGGAGACTATAGTATCCTATGGGTACGGTTTGTGTCCAATTCTGATATTTTAATTCACCTAGTTGGTTAGATTTTAAAAGGGGAAATCCCCTGAATGTCCCGAGAGCATCCCTAGTCTGGACTGGGGAAAGAGGGCTAGGGGACTCCATCAGGATTTAGTTATAACCAAATGTTAGAGGATCTTAGGAGAATTCAGAATCTAGTCCAGTCTATAGCCAAATAACAAGGACTTTAGGGCAATGCACAATGTTACAATCTAATAACAGATACAATTTTGCTTTTCTTAGAAGCATAACTTTTCCTCTCCACATTGATCATATAAGAAATCTCAGCTATTAGAACCTCTTGAAGCTAGATGGCCAGACCAAGTCAGGCATTAGATTTTACTTATAGTCTTAAGGTTCTTGGGCCTACCAGGAAGTGATAGTTTTTACTTACTCACTGTAAAACTAGGAACTCTTGAAGACAAGCATTTTAGGCACATTTTTACATATAACATTTCAGTTCATACCTTGGTAATATAACCAATGTTCCCAATTGTATCCTGCTTTCAAGAGAGATAAGATTTTTATTTAACTTATATAAATAAAAATAAGAATATTCATTTATAGCTTCTGAATTTTAAGGAATCAAGTAGGGAGAAAAAGCAAATGCTTCCACCTTTGTTCAATAGAGGATACTTTACCAAAATATTGCAAGCTATAGATAGCTTATGTCAGAAAATTTCCTTGAATTTGGAAAACAAAACATTTAAGCAACAAAAACATTATCCTTATCAATTACTTAATTTCATTTAAATAATTCTGTTTGGTTGGCCAGGTGCAGTGGCTCACACCTGTAATCCCAGCACTTTGGGAGGCTGTGTGGGAGAATAGCTTGAGCTCAGGATTTCAAGACCAGCCTGCACAACATAGCAAGATCTGTCTCTACTAAAAGTCAAAAAAATTATCTGGGTGTAGTGGTACACGCCTGTAGTCTTAGCTACTCCAGAGGCTGAGGTAGGAGGATCAAGCTTGAGCCCAGGAGATGGAAGCTGCAGCGATCTATGATTGCACCACTGTACTCCAGCCTGGGGAACAGAGTAAGACTGTTTCAAAAAATTTTTTTTTCTTTATTTTGATTAGCAATTTTGGACTATAGCCCATTGCAAATACTTCTAGAGAATTTAAAACAATAACTGTGGATGACAAAAACCCAGAACAATCATAGCCAAAGATATGATGAGAATTTCCAATTGACAAGGCAATTTAGATATTTTGGTGGCATACAATCATTTAACATAATAATCATTATTATGGCACATATCTTGGCATATCAGAATTTTATACAATTTTACACTTTTTAATAAAGCCACAAATATAACTTAAGGGAAGTTAAACACCATTCATAATTTGACAGCACTTCCTGTATTATTTACCAAATAAACCTAATCATTTAATATCTGTACAAGATGAGAGATAAACCCTTTGAGGCTCTTCAGGGGGCCTATGTGGAAAATTGTAAAATTAATTTTAGGCCAAAAGGCTTAACTTAAGATTTGGGTCCTGGAGAGACCTGCCAAAGATGTTAAAAATTTCAAAAACTACTTTCTTTAATAGAATGGTGTTCACTGCTAAATAATAGTTACTTATTCAACCAAAGTAAGAGTAAAAATCAGAAGATTTCAAAAGCAATACAGAAAGTTACATGGATGTAAAAACCTTAACCCTTGTAAAGTTCAGTTTTCTGAAGTAGTCAAAACCCAACAAGGACAGCATGAAGTACAGGAAGTTTCCTTGGTAAAACACAGAATCTGTGTTTCCTAGGCTCATATATTCCTTGAGCAAGGAATATGTGGTTCTTAGCAAGAGCATATGAAGTTCTGGTTACATAAAATAATTCAGACACATAAAGAAAAGCCAAGAGTACTCAATCAAGTTATACCGAGTAAAACATTGCTTTTCTGGACCTTCAGGATAAAAGTAAAACCAGAGAAACTAGGTAGTTCTCAGGAAGAAATGTGACAGAAATAGAAATTTGTTTGTAATTCAGAGGATGGTTGTTAAACACATTTCAGAATTAAAAATCAAAACCTCTTGCAATCTTACTAAAAGCAATTGAACCTTTGTTGGCTGGGTGCAGTGGCTCATGCCTGTAATCCCAACACTTTGGGAGGCTGAGGCAGTGGATGGCCTGAGGTCAGGAGTTCAAGACCAGCCTGGCCAACATGGTGAAACCCCCGTCTCTACTAAAAATACAAAAATCAGCTGGGTGAGGTGGCACACATCTGTAATCCCAGCTACTCGGGAGGCTGAGGCAGAAGAATCGCTTGAACCTGAAAGGTGGAAGTTCCAGTGAGCCGAGATCATGCCACTGCACTCCAACCTGGGCGATAGAGTGAGACTCCGTCTCAGAAAAGAAAAGAAGAAAAGAAAAGAAAGGAAACCTTTGTTGTTTTAACATAGGTGACCAGATTTTTAAACTTTGTATCAGTGTATTTTAACATCAAAGTTTATTCTTTAGAAAGACTGTCACAAATAATTTCTTTTAATTATAGCCAGCTTAATCACACCCAGAATTTCCTTCATAAGTTCCCATTCATGAACCTTATCATGATTTACTCAGACCATCTATGGATTACTGAGACACCCTGCCTCACTCTATACTTCCTCTTTCTTCTTAAGTAACCAGTTATATCGCTCTAGGAAAAAGATTTACCATGCAAGACTATCTCATGCAAAATTATTCTCTTATCTTTACATCTATAACTCTCCTTACATCTCTTTCTGTCTCTACTATTTACAGTTCCTTTCTATCTTGTTTCTATTTCCTTCCTAAATCCACATTTTGACACTCCCTTTAGATAACCTTTGAATTAGAAAAAGTTATTTTTTCTCAATAAAAGACATTTTTTTCTCTTATTAAACACACCTTACTTTGGCATACTTTATATACAGAATTATATATCAATTGGAATTTTTAGCTTCTGGTAACCTTAAATTTTATTAAAAACATAGGAAACACAAAATCTTGATTTGCCTGTTACATATCATTATTTAACAGATAACAACCATTTTATTTTTATTATTTTTCATTTTTTTACTTTTTAGAGACAGGGTCTTGCCCTTTTGCCCAGGCTAGAGTGCAGTGGCATGATCATGGCTCACTGCAGCCTCAAACTCCTGGGCTCAAGCAATCCTCTCACCTCAGCCCCCCAAGTAGCTGAAACTCCAAGTGTATGTCACCATACCTGGCTAATTATTTTATTTTTTTGTAGAGATGTCTTGCCTTGTTACCCAGGGTGGTCTCAAACTTCTGGCCTCAAACAATCCTCCCACCTTAGCTTCCCAAAGTGCTGAGAGTATAGGCTTGAGTCACCATGCTTGGCCAAGAGCCATTTTATAATTGTCAGAAAAACGTGTTTCCCTATAACATATTTTTATGCATATTTAGTCTTTCTCTTAGTATTTCTAGTCTTTCTATTAAATTTAAGAAGCCAAGGACAACCCTATTTATGTTCAGCAGTTTGTTTCAGTTTTTATCGTATTTGAAAATGACTTGTACATTTAATGAGTCATCTATTATTTAATTTAGGATTTCAAATTACATAAAAATTTATAGCTATTTATCCCATTTACCTTTATTTATTTATTTTAGCAGTGTGCTGAGATTACTTATGAAAACTGAGATAATAGACAAACTAGTCATCATTCCAAATTATTTATCTATTACTTATTTTATACAACTGCATATCAGGCAAATATTATAAAAGTAATGACCTTAAAGTCAAATAATTCAGAGGACACAGGCATTCCCATCAAATCAACAACCTTAGACTAGTCCCATTTGCCAAAAGATTTCTAAGTCAAATGTGAACTTGAAAAGTGCCTGGTCTTATTTGCTTAATTTATGAGTACTCATCTATTTATAAGCCAATTTGGTACCATAGACAAATACAACCAGACTTGTACATGCAGCCAGATACAAGTCTGGTTGTATTTGTCTATATCGGGCAAATATTATAAAAGTAATGACCTTAAAGTCAAATAATTCAGAGGACACAGGCATTCCCATCAAATCAACAATCTTAGACTAGTCCCATTTGCCAAAAGATTTCTAAGTCAAACATGAATTTGAAAAGTTCCTGGTCTTATTTGCTTAATTTATGAATACTCATCTATTTATAAGCCAATTTGGTACCATAGACAAATACAACCAGACTTGTACATGCAGCCAGATACAAATAATGATCAAGCTTTAAATAAAGCTTTAGCCATATGTCAGGCATAACTCACTAGTTAAAAGGGATAGTTAGATTCAAACTTCGTCACTGTTAAACTAACAATTTTAGTTTAAATTTTTCTGTTCCACGTGGCTGAAGCCCCTTACTGAATTTTAGAGAAACCAGAGTAGCAAAGTAGTCGGGCGGACCGGCAGGAAGAGAGGAGCT
This sequence comes from Homo sapiens, assembly GCF_000001405.40. NCBI lineage: Eukaryota > Metazoa > Chordata > Mammalia > Primates > Hominidae > Homo > Homo sapiens. The sequence continues at coordinate 121,230,915 of NC_000003.12, forward strand.
AGTTGAAGAAGGTTAGCTCTAGAATCAATTAGAAAGCCAATAAGTCTCTTTTCTACATTAGATTACCTAAGGTTCCTAGATCATAGAGGATCCCCAGTCCCATTATTTTTAATCACTATCAGAAACTGGTATCTGGTGGGCTGATTAATGGGCAGCTTCTTTCTCTACCTGCCAGGATGATTAGGGCACTCCCATTTCCAATGGTCCTCTTGTTTATAATATGCACATTGTGGCCTCAAGAGTGTACGGCCATTTTGGCCAGCAGTGGGGTCCCTAAGGGTCTTACCCATGGCCATTTGTTTTTCCTAGCATGCTCCATCTTGTGCCTCGACTGGTGGTGGCCAAGAGCCACAGCAAGCAGCATAGCTTGTTGTCTCATGTCGCATTGCTTTTGCCCTTCCTGGACTTGAATAAGATGATTAAATGCCTTAAAAGCAATCTCGACTACTGGAGATATTGATATTCCCAACACCTTTTCTACTTTTTGTAGTTTTCCTCTTATGCCAGGGGCACTGTGACTGATAAAACTCTCAGGTTACCTGGATGTTCGGGGTTAATGTCAGTGTATTGCCTGAAGGCTTTAAGGACCACAAGAAAGGAAGAAGCATTTTCTTTGGCCACTGTTGTACCTTTATGGCTTGTGCTGCTGGAGTCCTGCTACAATTAACATTCCCCATTTTGCTTGGAAGTTTATCTCAGATGGCTAGAGCAAGGCCCTGCACTAGAAAGAGATATATATATTTTGGGTCTGCAATGTGGTACTTATGGAGATTCCTTCCCAGTGAATCACCCAATGGGTTGGGTATCCTCTAGTCTCCTAGGAGTACCTAAAAGGGCTGGAGGGAGCAATGTAGTCCCTCTATTAAATAATTTTCTAATTAGGCTGTTTCTGTGCCATCAAAATATTAACTGCTGCTTAAGCCAAATATTACTGCTCATATCAGAATACAAACAGAAACAGAAAAAGCCAATCAAACAAGACAAACCACAGCATTTTGGACTCTGAGTTTGATCCACTCAAAGGGAGCAAACAGACAAGGCTCAAACTTGTCCCTGCAAGCTTCAGACATCTTTAGTCCATTCTGGATGGGGAAGGTTGACCTCCAGCCAATAATCAAGCAAATAATTTACTCAGTCTAGTTGACTGGAACAGACAGCGACCCTGAGTCAGGCCTCCTTGGCTGCCACTGGCAGCTCCTTCAGGGTTTGCTGAGTGGTCTTAACAACATAAACAAGTGACTAGACAAACCCTAAACTTGACACATATACATATACACATCCAAGTTCCAAGTTCCCAGTCAAGTTCCTAGTCAAATTTATAATCGAGTGCCACGTGAACATACCCCCTTATTCTTCTTTCAATCAAAGTTGAAATCCCCTAACAAAGCCCCCTTGTGGAGGTTGACAAGGCTCCCTAGTGGAAGTTGATAAGAAAGGAGCTGAGAGTTGGTCACTTGTACAGAGATTAATTCACCACAAAATAAAAATAAAAAAGAGGAAAAAAAATGTGTTCCAAAATTCAAAACTTCTTTTTGCTGCAAAAATGAAAGTAAAAGCACCAAAAGTCAGCAGGGCCATGCTGGGGAGACAGGAACCAAGAGTAAATCACTGAGTAAAACACCTGGACAGCTGCTCAGACCCTCAAGTGGATCCCATCCCTGATATGGAGCTGGTGAGCCACAGTCAAAACTGTCCTGAAAGGATTTAGAGAAGTCCGATTTGGGTCACCAACTTTGTTATTGAACTAAACTGGGTCCATTTGCCCATGCACAATGGAAAGCCAAACACTGAAGCAGCAGGTTTTTGCAGCAAGAAAGGTTTATCATGAGTGAACTGGCAAGGAGACAGATGTCAAATCTGTCTCCCCAAGCTGGGGATTGAGGAAGGTTTTATAGTCAGCGCGTAATAAGTCATGATCTGATTGGATCTTGCCATAGGATGATGCCAGGAGGTATGCTCTGACTGGATCCTTCCCTGGTGTGATACCAGGGCTCTATCTGATCGGATCCTGCAGCCTACCATGCAATGTATGCTTCTTAATTTTAGTCCCTGTTCCTTGTTCTGGGCACTTAGGTTCTACCTGTGGTTGCATGCTTTGTTTATCTTGGCATGTTCAGGTTACGTGGCCTTCAATCTGGGAGTCCATGGCAACTGAAGAGCTTTGTTATGTAAAAGTTGAACCAGATTGATATGATATGGTTACACAACCTATAAATATATTTCAAATTACATTGAATTGAAAGTAAACTTTTTATTATAAGCAGTGTTGCTCTTATACAGATGTGAATGTATGTCATATCCCAGAGAAGCAGAGATACTATTCCCTCAGTACATCTCCTTGTAGGCATAAAATCAGATCTAAAATACAAAGGTTATGGAAGAATAAGATAAATGTTTGTGAGATCAGGTGACAGATTCACTGTCTTCACATAATCCAATATTATCATCACTCCATGATTATTGAGATATATTTATACTATGCTACTTTTAATTTTTTTCTTGTTCTTTCTAGTGATCTTAATATTAAATTTGAGAAGCACAACTTTTTTTAAGTGCTCTTTGTTACTTCTTACTTTGGCTTATAGTTTGGTCTTCTCACATCATTTAAATAATATTTGTATAGGGATAAAGGAAATGCAATTTTGCTGATTTTATAGTATATACAATATGAAAACTTTTCATTTTTTATTTTTACTTGTAGAATTTCAAGAACCCTATGCTGTCGTGGTACTTCTGGAGAAAGATCTCATTGTAGTTGATCTGACACAAAGCAAGTAAGTTATCCATGTACAGATTAACACTTTTAAACTCTATTTATTTTAGATTATTGGCATTTGTATTCTTTTGATAGGAAGTATTCTTTGTGTGAATATTGGTTTGCTAGAATTACAGAAATGCACTTTGGTTCAATGGTGAAAATTAAACCAGAGGAATTTGGGAAACACTGAGAAAATTGTGAGACAACTTAAAGGCAGCACCTGATGTTTGGACAGAAGCATTGGAGACTCAGGACACATAAAATTGATCACATTTTTGTTGTTTCCTTAAAGAAAATCAATCATTATGAAAACTTGTACAATGTGATAGCTGAGTAATGGAAAATGACACATGATAGAAGTATTATTGCACTACTGCTGCAGACAACACAGAAGACCAGAATCTCAGGGGCAGAGAAGACAGGGGCCTTCTTTTACTTTTATTCCTTTTTCATTATGTCACAGGCAATTGAAACAACTGTAGAATAATGCTATAATAGTGGTGCTCTCCACTCCTTTACATTGTCAGTAAAAATCTAACTGTACATTTTTATTATAATGGTAATAGCATGAAACTAATTTCCATCATTGTATGTTCTTCGCCCACTGATCTTTTAGCCTCATATATTTGTAACACAATTTTGTAAGTTGTCTCTCCTTGGCCTGGAATGACTTTCTCTTCATTTTTTCTTCTTATTAATATCTGTAAGATTCTCAAGTCAGATATCACTTCCTTATTTAAAAAAATTCATTATCTATATAATTTGGCCACATATTCTAGTATGGGCTCTCATACCCCCCACATTTCTCTCTTCATAGCTTTTGACACAGATACAATTTTCTATTTGCTGTTGCTTAAAGATTGTCTCCCCACTAGGCTGTAGGCTCCATGAAGGAGGGGCTCTGTCTCCACATGGAGTCAGCTCTCAATAAATTTTTGTTGAATAAATCAGTCCAAATTCTACTCTTCAAGTTGTTTGTAAATGTAAGATCCAGGGTTCTTCCTCATACTAATTTGCAGATATTGTTCTCGGTGTTTGGAAAGGGATGTAGGATTTGGGCCATTAAATCATCATAACTGGGAATTCTGCTTAGCTGCCCTATTTATCAACATTAACACTTTTTGGGTAGATGTAAGGATTTATGCTTATTCTTCTAAGAAGTTCTAATATGAGTCTTATTAAAACATACTCTTCTAATCTCATTGGTACTCAACTCGTCTTTCTACGTCATATTTGTTGGTTACTCGTACTTTGTCTAAGTATCTAACATCTTTGCAGGCCCATTATACTTTACCTTTCATGCCCACTTTCTTCAGTATATATATATATATTTTTTTATTTAAATTTTGTTTTATTGTGATAGACTATGTATAACATAAAAGTTACCATTTTATGTATACATACATTCTTGTGCTTTTCATTACCCTATATAAGTATGTGAATTAACATTTTGTTTGCAAGTTTTCATCTAACATTTACCTTCTTTAGCATGTATTAAAATCTATGTGGCATTCCCATTTCATTGGTTATTACATGAAATTTAACATGTCAAAAACTGAGTATGTTCTCTTTCCTTCCAAATGGTTACCTCTCAGCTATACTGAATGTTAAACAAGTTGTAACTTTGGAATCTCTTTCAATTTTTTTCTTTTTATCTTTTTCTTTCCATTTAATCCCCAACCCGAAGGCAAGCATTAGGGTTTACAAATTATTTCTATTCTTGATTTCTTTATGTCTAAATTCCTCTAGTAAGTTTTTAGTTATTATTTCTCTTTTTAATATCTTTTTGCCTACTCTTTGCCAATGTACTAAAACAATTTTTCTCAAAAATTTTCTCAATATTTCACTTTGTCAGGAGCCTATTATCGTTACCTCTTGCTATTATCAAATTCTAAATTGTAGGCCTGGTCTTCAAGGGGTCCATTTATCTTCTAACTCTGTAATCTTAGAAATATTAATAATTTCTACTCTGAAACAGAGAATCTCTGATATATCTAGTTTAACCTCTGGTACCTCTAGTTTAACCTACTTGTCCCTTAACTAGACATGAGTTTTTCCTTTACCTGATTTTGCATATATAACTATTCTTATTTGGGATACTATCTGCAACATTTCAGATTGGTGGAAAGAGAACTCCTGCCAGAACACACACACACACACACACACACATACACACACACACACACACACACTATATTCTCTGGAGATTGGACTAAACTCCTAATTTTTAATTAAGTTCCTAATAATATGGCAAAAAACTGTTTTGTAACAAGCACCTCCTACCCTAAAAAAACACAGTGTGTCAGAAGTTATAGGATGACACAGACCTGGAACAGATATAGCATAGAATAATACTAATTTCCTCCTAGTACAGTGCCTTGTACATATGATGTTCTAAATAGCTACAGGAATTTTAAATTTGATTCTGAACTCATTTCCTTTTTAAGGTTATAGTAGGCTTGAGGATATGAAAGTTATTACATCCATAAGTCTTTATTCCAACTATGTTCTCTAGTTTACATAGGAAATGATCTTTTAGATATACACAGTCACATACACACAAACCTACATATGACACACATCTTTTCATTATTCCTGCAAAAAAATTTAAAAGTTTCCTATATATTACCTCTTTGTCTTAGTCCCTTTTATATTGTTATAAAGGAATACTCAAGGCTAGATAATTTATAAAGAAAAATTATTTGTTTGGCTCACAATTCTGATGTCTGGAAAGTCCAAGGTTGAGTGTCTGCCTCTGTTGAGGGTCTCAGGCTGTTTCTACTCATCTCAGAACGTGAAGGGAAGTCAGAGTGTGCAGAAATCACATGGTGAGAAAGAAGGCAAGAGAGAGAGGGGACAGGTTTCAGGCTTTTTTAAACAACCAGCTCTCATGGGAACGAAGAGTGGGAACTCGTCCTTAAGGGAAGACATTAATCTATTCATGAGGAATCTGCCCCTGTGAAGGGGAAAGACATCCCGATCATAGCATTCTTCACCTGAATCCCCAAAACTCATGTCCTCACATAAAAGATACAATCATTCTTTTCCAATAGTCTCAAAAGTCTTAATTCATTTTAACATCCATTCAAAAGTTCAAAGTCCGAAGTCTCATCTGAGACACAAAGTAAGTTACTTTCAGCTGTAAGCTTATAAAATATGAAACAAGTTCTTTACTTCCAAGGTAAAAATGGTTGTATAGGTATTGGGTAAACATTTCCATTCCAGTAGGAAGGCGTAACAAGTCTCATGTAGCTTTAAAACACAGCAGAGTAGACATTAAATCTTAAAGCTCCAAAATAATTTTCTTTGACTCCATGTCCTGCATCCTGGGAACATTGGTGCAAGGGGTGGGCTCCCAAGGCCTTGGCAGTCCTGTCCCCATGTTTTTGCTGTGCACAGCCCATGTGGCTTTCATATGTTGGAGTTGAATGCCTGAGGCTTTTCCAGACTGAGGTTGCACACTGCTGGCGGCTCTGCCTATGTGGCAGGTTTCAGCATGGGCACCCAGGCTTTTTGATATATCCTCTGATATCTAGGGGGCAGCTGCCAAGCCTCCATGGCTCTTGTGTTCTGGGTGCCTGCAGACTTAACACCATGTGGATGCCACCAAAGCTATGGCTTGTGCCCTCTGGAGCAGCAACCCCAGCAGTAGCTGGGTCCATTTGAGCCATAGTGGGAGCTGGAGTTGTAGGGATGTGAGGAACAGTGACCCAAAGGGGCACAGGGCAGTGGTGCCCTAGGCCTGTCCCCCAAAACCATTCTGTTCTCCTAGGCTCCTGTGATTGTGATGGGATGGGTGGCCTCAAAGATTTCTGAAATGCCTTTTGTCCATTGTCTTGACTATTAATACCTTGCTCTCTTACTGGTCATGCTAATCTCTTTAGGAAGTAGTTGCTTAGATTCCTCTCCTGAAAACACTCTTTTCTTTACTACCACATGGCCAGGCTGCAAATTTTTCAAATGTTAATGCTCGTGTCCCTTTTAATTATAGATTCTTCCTTTAGGTGATTCCATTGTGGACATAATTTAGTGTAAGCTGTTAAAAGTAACAATGCCACTTCTTGAGCACTTTGCTGCTTAGAATTTTTTTCTTCCAGATACTCTAGGTCATCGCTCTTAAGATTAGCCTTCCATAATGCAGCCAAATTCTCTGCTACAGTGCAACAATGCAGCCAGGTTCTTTGCTACAGTGCAACAATGGGGATATTTGCTCCAGTTCCAATAAGTTCCTAATTTCTGTCTGAGACCTCATTAGCATAGCCTTTTCTGCCCATATTTCTGTCAGTATTTTGGTCACAACTACTTAACCAATCTCTAAGAAGTTCCAAACTTTCCCTCATCTTTTTATCTTCTGAGCTCTCCAAACTCTTCCAACCTCTACCCATCACTCATTTCTAAAGTGCTTCCACAATTTCAGTTATCTTTATAGCAACACCGCGCTCCTTAGTACTAATTTTCTGTCTTAGTCTGTTTTGTGTTACTAAAAGGAATACCTGAAGCTAGTAATTTATTTTTTTTCAAAAAAAATGTTTATTTTGTTTACAAGATTGGGCATCTGTATGTGGTGAGAACCTGAGCTGTTTTCACTCATGGTGAAAGGTGAAGCGGGGCTGAGCTGGTGTGTGCAGAGATTACATGATGAAAGAAGAAACAAGTGAGAAGGAGAAGGCTCCAGGCTCTTTTTAACAACCAGCTCTCACAGGAACAAAAAGGGAGAACTCATTCACCTCCAAGACAGGACATTAATCAATTCATGAAGGATCTGCCCCATAAGCCAAACACCTCTCATTAGGCTCCACCTCCAACACTGGGGACTAAATTTCAAGATGAGGTTTGGAGGGGACAAACATCCAAACCATAGCACTCCCATTGAAAGAAAGTCAAAATTTACTTATATTTTAATATTTATAAGGATACTAAATAAATATTTACCAATGTATATAGGTAAAGTGCTTGGTTTATTTTTAATGAATTAACTAAGTAAACTTGTTATATAATAGTTTCAGATTAATAGAATTCATTGTATCTATATTAGCAAAGCAATGCCACTGTGGAATGTTAGAATTATGAGAAGTAAATTTTGAGCTTGAGTAAAATTTTACTAGTATTAATATTACATTTTATAAATTACTATTACAAAAAGAGCATTTTTGTTCATACAATTCTTGTTTTATGGTACTTAAAAAACAAGCAAAATTTATAGTGATGTTTAGAGACATTTTAGGGCTTACTTTATCAAAATTATTTTCTGTTTTTTTCTTTGTAAAATAACACTGATATATTGTCTTTATCTATTAGTTTTCCAATCTTTGAAAATCCATATCCCATGGACATTCATGAATCACCAGTTACATGCACAGCATACTTTGCAGATTGTCCTCCGGATTTGATTCTAGTACTGTATTCTATAGGAGTCAAGCATAAAAAACAAGGATACAGTAATAAGGTAAAAGTAGAAATTATAAATAACTTTTTTTGTATTCATATCACATGATCATACTTTTTTCCATTACTTTATTTTCTTACATTCCATATAGGAGGACTTAACTAAATTCTTTTTAAGTTATAAGCCAACATCTATTAAATACATAACTTCTTAAATTCAAATTTTCTAAATGCTACATAGCTTTAAGCCTATAGAAATATAATTTCTTATACAGAAGGTATATAATTATATACTAAGATATACTTATCTAGTATGTACATTTATATACTAAGTATGTACTTATACTAATATATATTTGAGTCATAAGATGTAACCTTTATTTTAGATGAAAAAATATGTTTAAATGTCCAACAATGATAGATTGGATTAAGAAAATGTGGCACATATACACCATGGAATACTATGCAGCCAGAAAAAAGATGAGTTCATGTCCTTTGTAGGGACATGGATGAAATTGGAAAGCATCATTCTCAGTAAACTATCGCAAGAACAAAAAACCAAACACCTCATATTCTCACTCATAGGTGGGAATTGAACAATGAGAACACATGGACACAGGAAGGGGAACATCACACTCTGGGGACTGTTGTGGGGTGGGGGGAGGGGGGAGGGATAGCATTGGGAGATATACCTAATGCTAGATGACGAGTTAGTGGGTGCAGCGCACCAGCATGGCACATGTATACATATGTAACTAACCTGCGCATTGTGCACATGTACCCTAAAACTTAAAGTATAATAATAATAAATAAAATAAAATAAAATAAAGAAAATAAAAAGACTCAGGTCTTCCTAGTTTATAATTAATTAATGGTTTAGGAAACATAATTATTAAAAGTTATTTGTTAAATAACATTCTAGAATTTTTTATTATAGTTTACTACAAGATTCAACTATTTACAATTGTAACAGATTATCTATTATGATTTCTATTATTCTCCCAGGGCTCTTGGGATGGACAACTTCAAGAGACACTATTTACATAGCTTCTATGTTAAATGGCACCACAGTAGTTTGGTGGTACACAGACTATATGATGCATGTAGCAACACTGTATTTGTACAATTAAAAATACTTCTTTGATTTGTTTATATAAATGGTAAGATTGATTAAAATCTATATTTTTAAGGGAGATGGAATTGTGCATTTAGAGGTGTTTGTTCAATGAAAGAATTAAAAGACAGCTACACACTTCATTCTTGATGATTTTACACTTATTTTTCTTTAAGTGAGCTTTTTATCATTATTTTAAGCTATTTTCATTTTAAATTTCTAAGCCATTTAAACATGTATATATATTCTTTCTGGATAATCTGTTTAGGAGTGGCCAATCAGTGGAGGAGCTTGGAACCTTGGAGCACAAACATATCCAGAAATTATTATTACTGGGTAAGTAGATGTGTTTTGTGAGTTATTAGTTCATCAACAAAAAGATGTTTACTGAGTCTTGATACTTTTCCATAATTGTGTTCTATGCAGAATAATAGTTTAAGTAAAAGTAAAAATATAAGAAATAGCTTCTACCCAAAGATTCTCATCTTGACAGAGGATATAATCAAACCATTGGAAACATAATAACAGAAAAGAAAGCATAGATTATATCACCAGGAGAAGGTCAAAGTTGGGAAGTCATGAGATATTAGTCTTCATGGAAATCACAGAATATTAGCTTTACAAAGGCCCTTACAAACACTTATCTATTTCTGCCAAATTCAGGAATCACTGCTCTGTATCTGTACGAGATGGTTATTTTAAATATTTCTCAAAACTTACAGCACCAGAAATAACACTCCTTTGTATGACAACCCACTTGATGTTTTAATATTAGGAACAAAAATAGAGACATAGCTAATGATAAATATGAGATTTAAAAAGTAATTAAGGGATCTGCTAATGGGAAGATAGAGTAAATATATTTTTTCCTATTCTTCCCACTAAACAACTAAAAACTCTGGATATTACATATAAGACAAACATAAGATGACTGGGAAATGTGAAGACGCATCAGACCAAGTAGGACCCCTAAGTCTTAGAGAATGACATGGAAGTCAGTTCCCTAAGTTTTCTTTCTGCCTCATATATCCCAGAATTAGAGCTAAAGAAGCTAGTAACCTAGAACTGGGAATAAACACAAATTAAAAATCCCAACAAAATCTAGCTCTCTTTAATCATAGAATGAAGAAAGTGGCAGTGTATCAAGACAGAAAACATATGGAAAATAATCTCTCTACTTAGGTTTAACAACAACACACACACATACACACACACACACACACACACACACACACACACGCACACACCTTTCTCCCACACACACAAGTGTGGCCCCACCCCAACTCACTCCAGTAAAAGCCAAGTGGAGAGCTTAGAGTTTCACCCTTATCAGGGTATAATGAGGTACCCCCAACTTCCCCAGAGTGTCAGATAAAGCAGAGTAGGGAGCTGGGGCTTTGAATCATGGTGGGTGAAACCCCTCCCCTGTGGTGTCAGTGGGGAGCTAGAATTCTCACCACTGCCTAGCAGTAATGAGTAGCTACCACTCCCTATCCCCTTCCCTGTGTCAACAGAAATAAATGAGGAAGGAAGAGAAGAAAGAGGGTGGGACTGCAAAGTATTAAGGAAATAATGGCTGAAAACTTATCAAATTTAGCAAAACAACATGAACCTTCAGATTCCAGAAGCTGAGCAAACCCCAATAAATCTATACCAAGATAAATTATTGTCAAACTTCTGAACAGTAAACACTGAAAGAAAAAAAATCTGGAAAGCCACAGTAGAGAAATGACATCTGACCTATGGGGCCAAACCAATTTGAATGACAGCAGAGTTTTCATCAGAAACCCTGCCTGCCAAAAGGAAAAATGAGTAGTTTTCAAGTACTGAAAGAAAAGAACTATCAATCTTGAATCCTATAACCAATGAAAATATCCTTCAAGAATTAAGGCAAAATCAAGATCAAAATCTATCATTTCCAGATGCAATAAACTAAAAGAATTTTTCAACACCAAATCTACCATTAAAAAAGTAGCTAAAGGAAGTTCCCTACACAGAAAGGAAATGAACCTTGGTTCATCAAGAAGGAAGAAATAATGCAATAATAAAAGTATGGATAAATACAATAGGCTTTCCATCTCTTGGATTTTTAAATGTATATTTTATGGTTGAAGCAAAGATTATAGTAACAGAGTCTGATGTTACTATAATCACATTGTCTGGTGTGGTTCTAAATGTGTATAGAGGAGATATTTAACACAATTATAAATAAGAGAGGGTAAAAGGATGTAAATAGAGTTAAGGCTTTTATATATCTTGAACTGGTAATAAGATGACACTCATAGAATGTGATAAGTTGTGGTACAATGTAATACCTAAAAAAACTGTAAAAATTATGCAGAGGTACACTTAAAAACACTACTGACACGTCAAAATGGAAGCACTATAATAATTCAGGTAACAGGAAGGCAGAAAAAAGGAAACAGAAAAAATTATATGGTATACTGAAGCCCTAATATATCAATAATTATATTAAATAGAAATGGTCTAAATACTTCCATTCAAATATAGAGATTGACAGAGTGGGTTAAAAACATGACCAACTATATGTTATCTGCAATACACTCACTTCAAATATAACAGCATAGACAATTTGAGAGTAAAAAGACAGAAAAAAAAACTAAAAAAAGAATTAATTGAGAGTGATATCAACAAGGTGACAGAATAGGAAGCCCTAGACTTTGTTCTCCACAGGCACACTTACTTTACAACAATATGTGGTCCAAAAAGCCATTAGGACAACTTCAGAAACCGTTTAGGAAGTCACAGTACCCCAGACAAGCTCAAAGCCAAGAATGGTCACATTGAAATGGGTAAGAAAAGCAGGGCGTTTCAGCCACATCAGTCCTTTTTCCAAGCTGGCAGAGCTCACAATTAGGAGGAAAAGTGCAACTCATGGCTTCACCTTTACTCATGGCTTCACCTTTTTGAGGGAAAGAAAAGAGCGGAAGATATACACAATGTTCTGGATATATGTTATAGCGGCTGCTCAAGGGACTAGTTTCTGTGTCATCTGATAGAGATCTGGCAAACTTTGGATTCCTGGGTGCCACTGAGAGCAAAATATATTTCAGTGGCTTGTAGCATCAGAGAACCTGCAGTATTTCAGACAGATACTAGAGCAGCAAGATACTACAAGTTCCTGAAAGAAACTGGAAAACTTCACTAGTTAGGAATTACATGCACAAGCCCAGAGAAGACAAATTCCCATAAAAGGTTTGAGAGGCTCTTAGAATGTCTACCTGGGCTGATTTATGAAAAATGTTCCCTGTACAAAGTCAGTCCATAAGGATATGACTAATTTTTCACATTAAAGTCAACAAAAATAAAGCATACAAAGAGACAGGGAAACATGGCCCAATCAAAGAGACAAAAAAAAAAAAAAGTCCAGTAACTGATTTTAACCCTTTTCCTACTTGCCCCGAGAATACTCACTGGCAGCACTTGCAGCTATAACATTTATGCCAAGATAACTTTGCCTCAAAATATCTCACTTTTATTATTATTGTTGTATCACTCTAGTATATTGACTTTGGAAATAAAAGACATCATTCTATTTATAGCATTCTGGTTTTAGTAGTGGTATTTCCATTTACAAAATATAGTAATTCTCCATCACTGAAAATGTCTTATCCTAGGAAACATAGCATTCCTACGTGTGAAGTTAACATCATTCTTGTACAGTTGTTGGCTGAGGATTCATTTGGTGAATTTATTTTTTCCGAAATAGACTATTCTGATGTTAGTTCTGTTCAGAAATAACTCCAGGAACAGCTTTCATATTTTATTTTCACCTTGAAAACCAGTCAGATTTTCTTCAGCCTCAAAAAGTGTGTTTACGTAAAATTAAAGGAGCACTGGAAGCAAACTGTACTTTTTATTCTAAATGGGAAAAGGGTTAAAGAAACAGAAATCTGTGTATTACCTGACAAAGAGTTCAAAATAATCATCTTAAAGAAACTCAATATATTAGAGAATACAAATAGAAAACTAAACAAAATTAGGGAAATGATGCATGAACAAAATGAGAATATCAACAGAGTTTGAAATTATTAAAAAAAAACAATTCTAGATCTGAAGTATATGATAATTGATTTGAAAAATTCATTACAGAGTGTCAACAACAGACTTGGCCAAGCAGAAGAAAGAATCAGTGAACTTGAAAATAGGTCACTTGAAATTATTGAGTCAGAGGAACAAAAAGAAGAGGGCCTAAGAGCCTTACAAACACATTCAAGTGGACTGATGTACACATTATGGGAATTTAAGAAGGGGCGGGGAGAGAGAGAGAGAGACAGAGAGAGAGAGAATGGAGTAGAGAGAATGGAGCAGAGAGCTTACTTGAAGAAATAATGGTCAAAAATTTCCCAAGTTGGAGGAAAGAAATGGAAATTCAAATTCAAGAAGCTTAAACAAGTCCAATAATATGAACCCAAAGAAGCTCATAAAGAGACACATTATAATCAAACTGTCGAAAATCAAAAACAAAAAGAAAATCTTGAAAGCATCAAGAAGAAAAGTTCTTATCACATGCAAGGAAATCCCCATGAGATTGTCAGCAGGTTTTTTAGCAGAAGCATGGCAGACTAGAAGGGAGTGGGATAATATACTCAAAGTGCTGAAAGAAAAAAAACCCCACCAACTTAGAATGCTATATTTGTCATAACCAACTTCAAAAATGAAGGAGCAATAAGACCTCCCTATATAAACAAAAACTGAAGGAATTCATCACAACTAGACATGTCTTACATGAATTGCTGAGAGTTCCTTCAGTTGAAACAAACACACTAGACAACACCACCGAAGCATACAAAAACTTAAAAGCTCTCTGGTAAAGTTGAATTTATAGACAAATATAGAATATCGTAAGATTTTAAAGATGGTGGATAAATCACTTTGATTTCTGGCATATAATTTAAACAATAACAACATAAAAATTACTATAATACTATGATAATAGATGCAAAATATAAAAATATGTAATTTGTGACATCAATAACATGAAGAGATAGTGAATGTAAAGGAGTAGATTTTTTGTATGTAGTTAAAGTTGTTATAGTTTAAAATAGATTGGTATAACTAGAAGATATTTTATGTAATCCTGATGGTAAACACGAAGAAAATGCCTATAGAAGGTGCACAAAAGAAAATGAAAAAGGAATAGAAGTATGTCACTAAAAAAAAAAAACAAAACCCAAAGGAAGCCAGCAAGAGAAGAAAAGAAAGTCAAAATAACCACATAACATATAGAAAATAATAAAATGGCATTAGTAAATTATTCTGTACCAATAATTATGTTAAATGTAAATTGATTAAACTCCCTAATCAAAAGACATAGAATGGCTTGATTGAAAAAAGTAGAACTATATGCTGCCTCCAAGAAACTCACTTTAGATTTAAGGACACACATAGGTTGAAAGTGAAAGGATAGAAAAAGATGTACCATGCAAATTGTAACCAAAAGAAAATGAGATGAATACATTTATATTGGACTTTAAGTCAATAACTCACAAGGGACAAAGAAAGACATTACCTAATAATAAAAGAGTCAATCCAACAGAAAGATATAAAAAGTACAAATATGTATGAACATAACAACAGAGCATCAAAATATATGAAGCAAACATTGACAAAATTGAAGAAACAAACAGAATAACACAATAATAGTAATATATTTCAATATCACATTTTCAGTAATGAACAGATCAACTAGACAAAAGATCAAGAAGGAAACAGGGTATTTGAAAAACACTATAGAACAATTGGGCCTAACAGACATACAAAACACTATACCTAGCAATAGGAGAAAAATATTCTCCTTAAGCACACATGGACCTTGTTCTAGGATAAGTAATATGTTAGGCCAGGGGTCCACAACCCCTGGGCTGCAGACCAGTACCAGTCCATGGCCTGTTAGGAACTAGGCCACACAGCAGGAGGTAAGTGGCAGGCAAGTGAGCATTACCACCTGAGCTCTGCCTCCTGTTAGATCAGGGACAGCATTGGATTCTCATAGGAGTACGAACCCTATTGTGAACTGCACATGCAAGAGATCTAGGTTGCACGCTTCTTATGAGAATCTAACTAATGCCTGATGATCTGAGGTGGAACAGTTTCATCCCGAATCCATCTCTCACCACCCGCATCTGTGGAAAAGTTGTTTTCCACGAAACTAGTCCCTGGTGCCAAAAAGGTTGGGGAGTGCTCTGTTAGACCACACATCTGTAGATGCAAGTTATTAGTAATGTTAGTTCTTTGGTTGAGTGGTTTCAATACGATTATATTCTGTATATTAAATCTATGTTACATACATTGTTATTTTCATATCAAGTATTACATGATGAAAAATAAAATAGAATTAAATTTTGTAAGGGTATATAGAGTCTCAGATCAACATCCTGCAGATTTTTCAGCAATAAAATTTAAAAATATCTATAAGTTTATAATTAGAGTAAACATACAAAGTCATTCATAGCATCTTTATTTGTAACAGCCAAAAACTGAAAACAACCCAAATGTTCATCATTTGGTGAAGGGGTAAGTAGAGCATATCCATACAATGGAATACTATTTAGCAACAAAAAGGAACAAATTATTAATACATGTAAGAAATATTATCCTCAAAAACATTACGCTAAGTGCATAATGCAGACACAAAATGTAGTAGATATTATGTGGGTTCCACTTATATAAAAATTCTAAGAAAAAAAGAATCTATATAAGCAGAAAGTAGATTATTGGGGATCTACTAGGGATGAGAAAGAGGGTTGCAAATTGCCATGAGGTAACTTTTTGGGGTAATGGAAATGTTCTAAAACTGGATGATGGTGTCAATGTGACAACTGTGTAAATTTACTAAAAATTATCAAACTGTACACTCCCAGTGGGTGAATTTTATAGTTATGTAAATTACATCTGAATAAAGCTGTTAAAGTAGAGTAAGCCACTCAGTGACTAACCCCCTCTCAAAATAAAAAATCAGTTGGCTATATACATATGGTTCTATTTCTGGACTCTCTAATATGTTTCACTGATATATGTGTCTGTTTTTCACCACTAGCACAAAAACTTTATTGGAGCTTTAGGGTGAGACTTAAACCTTATGTAGTTTGAGTTCTCCAACTTTGTTTTTATTTTTCAAAATTGCTTTGGCTAATCTAGTTTCTTTTCTTTTGAAAAAATAATTTCAGCTTTTATTTTAGATTCAGGGATACATGTGTAGGATTGTTACATGGGTATATTAGACACAGGTAGCGAGCATAATACCCAATAGGTAGTTTTCAATCCAAATCCCTCGCCTTCTCTCCCCACTCTAGTAGACTGCAGTGTCTATTGTTTCTGTGTTTATGTCCATGTGTACTTAATGTTTAGCTCCCAGTTATATGTGAGAACATGTGGTATTTAGTTTTCTGTTCCTGTGCTGGCTTACTTAGGATTATAGCCTCCAGCTCCATCCATGTTGCTGTAAAGGACATGATTTCACTCTTTTTTTATGGCTGTGTAATATTCCATGGTATATATGTACTATATTTTCTTTATCCAATCCACTGTTGTTGGGTACCTAGGTTGATTCCACATGCCATTGTAAATAGCATGGCAATGAACATATGAGTGCATGTGCCTTTTAGGTATAATGATTTATATTGCTTTGGTTATATACCCAGTAATGGGATTGCTAGGTCAAATGGTAGCTCTGAGTTCTTTGAGAAATCTCCCAACCGCTTTCTACTTTCAGTAGTGGCTTAACTAATTTACATTCCTACCAACAATGTTTAAGCATTCTCTTTTCTCTGCCATCTGGCAAGCATCTGTTACTATTTGACTTTTTAATAATAGCCATTCTGACTGTTGTACGATGGTATCCTACTGTGTTTTGATTTTCTTTTTTTTTCTTCTTTTTTTTGATTTTTGAGACAGACTCTTGCTCTGTTGGCCTGGCTGGAGTGCAGTGGCACAGTCTCGGCTCACTACAATCTCTGTCTCCTGAGCTCAAGCAATTCTCCTGCTTCAGCCTCCCCAGTAGCTGGGATTATAGGCATGTGCCACCATGCCTGGCTAATTTTTGCACT
This sequence comes from Homo sapiens, assembly GCF_000001405.40. Lineage (NCBI taxonomy): Eukaryota > Metazoa > Chordata > Mammalia > Primates > Hominidae > Homo > Homo sapiens. The sequence goes on from NC_000003.12 coordinate 121,248,241, forward strand.
TTTAGTAGAGACAGGGTTTCACCATTTTGGCCAGGCTGGTCTAGAACTCCTGACCTCAGGTAATCTGCTGGCCTCGGCCTCCCAAAGTGTTGGGATTACAGGCATGAGCCACCGTGCCTGGCCATGTTTTGATTTTCATTTCTCTAATGATTAGTGATGATGGCATTTTTTCATGTTTGTTGGCTGCTTGTATGTCTTCTTTTGAGAAGCATCTGTTCATGTCTTTTGCCCACTTTTTAATGGGATTATCTGGTTTTCGCTTTTTGGTTTGTTCAAGTTCCTCATGGATTCTGGGTATTAGACATACTTTGTCAGATGCATACTTTGTAAATATTTTCTCCCATTGTGTAGGTTGTCTGTTTAGTCTGTTGATAGTTTCTTTTGCTGTGCAGAAGCTCTTGAGTTTAATTAGTTCTTACATGTCAATTTTTGGTTTTGTCACAATCATTTTTGGGGGCTTGGCCATAAATTCTTTGCCAAGGCTGATATCAAGAAGAGTATTTCTTAGGTTTTCTTCTAGGATTTTAGTAGTTTGAGGTATTACATTTAAATCTTTAATCCATTTTGAGTTAATTTTTGTATATGGTGAAAGGTAAGGGTCTAGTTTTCACTCTTTTGCATATGGCTAGCCAGTTATCCCAGCACCCCTTTATTGAATAAGGAGTTCTTTCCCCATTGTTTGTTTTTGTCAGCCTTGTCAAAGGTCACATGGTTGTAGGTGTGAGGCTTTCTCAGTTTTCTCTTCTGTTCCATTGGTCTATGTGTCTGTTTTTGTACCAGTACCATGCTGTTTTGGTTACTGTAGCCTTATAGTATAGTTTGAAGTTGAGTAGTGTGATGCCTCCTGCTTTGTTCTTTTTGTTTAGCTATACAGGTTCTTTTTTGGTTTCATATGAAATTTTGAATAGTTTTTTTTTCTACTTCTGTGAGGAATGATGTTTGTAGTTTGATAGGAATAGTGATGAATCTGCACATTGCTTTGGGCGTATGACCATCAGTTTGTTTATTTCTACAAAAAATTGTTTTACCATATTTTAATTGTGATTACATTGAATTTATATGCCATTTAGGGGAACAAACATCTAATAAGTCATACAATTATCAATAATATATATCTCCTTTTATTAATGCCTTATTTTTTGGTCAACATCTTACAATTTTCAGCATACAGATCTGGCACAAATTGTGTTAGATTTTATCTATTTCTTGGTTTTGGCACTGTTGTAAGTGGTACTATTTTGTTATTTCCAAATGTCTATTGCTATTCAATGGAAATGCAATTGATTTTTGTATATTGATATTGTGTGTTACAATTTTGCTAATCATTTATGAGTTCCAGTATCCTTTTTATAGAATCTCTGAGATTTTCTACATAGCCATATAATCTGCAAATACAAACAATTTTATTTCTTCCCTTTTAGTCTGTATGCCTTTTATTTCTTTTTCTTCCCTATTTCAGTGCTTAACACCTCCAATAAGATGTTGAATAAGAATGGTGAGAGTGAACATTTTTTTGGCTTTGCTCCTGATCTTAGGGGAAAACATGCAATCTTTCATTATTATGTATGTTAGGAGATATCTGTAGGTTGTTCCTACACACCCTTTATCTGGTTATAGAAATTTCCTGTGTTCCTAGTTTATTGAAAGTTTTTTTTAGGAATGGATGATAAATCATGTCAAATGCTTTTTCTGCATTTATTGAGATGACTATATGGATTTTCTTTTGTAATCTGTCAATATGGTGAATTTTAATATGGTAGTTGATTTTTTAAGTGTTTGCCTTACATTCCTAAGAAAACCCACTTAGTCATTATGTACTATCCTTTCTATATATTACTTGATTTGTATTGCCAATATTTTGTTGACAATTTTTATGCCTATTCTCATGAGGAATATCGGTTTGTAATTTTCTCTTCTTGTAATGTTTTTATGTGGTTTTGGTGTCAGGGTAATGCTGAGTTCATCAAAAGTGTTGGGAAGTATTTTATCTTCTTCTATTTTCTCGATGAGTTTTTATAGAATTGACATTTGATTATTACCAAATAATGATGCAACTCTAGATATATTTGGTGATTTGCTTTTATATTTTGAAACTTAACTGAATTTTACTATGATATTCAATTCATATTTATATTAATATCAAAATTATCTATCCTTTTATTGAATATAAATAATTTTACATGAAAATATGTTGTTCACTTTCCACAGGCCATTTTTCATTGTTCTCCATTACATATATAACCTTTTTACAGTAAAGTCTAAGGAATTATTGTTCTTTTTCTAATCTTTAGATTTTAGTATATTGTTTAAGAAATGAGCCATTGTTTTAAGCTTAGAAATGGTTTAGCATACATTAGTTTTCATTAAAGTGGTATTTTTGAATCAAAATTGTATCAACAGTAACTCAAGTTTCTGTACATTTGGAGTGATTATGATTTTTATTTAGTATACTTTAATTAATGCTAATTTATTTCTCATCTAGTCATGCAGATGGATCAATAAAATTTTGGGATGCTTCTGCAAGTAAGTTTCAAGTTTCTGTACAACAGAAACCAATTGGTTAATATTTACTTATAGCCAGCTACCACTTTTTAGTTTGGGCAATTAAAATTTCAGATATATTTTTAGCACACATATGTGGCTGTGTTACAAAAATCTATTACCTACACTGTTAGATCAGTTGAAAGTATTATCTCTGCTTTACTTCTCTTCTATAATATAAGGTAAACAAGACTAAGTCACTCTTTGTCAGCAACCCATTATATCTACAAGAGGCATGATACATCAGAAAAAGTACCAAACTCTGTTAAATTAACTCTGTTCAAGGAATTTCCTTCACCCTCTACCTGTGTGGTCTTCGCCAAGTGCTTATATCCCTCTAGTCTTCACTTTTTTTTCCCCACTCATCTACCACATCCTGCAAAGATCAAATGATTTGATAACTATAAGAACTCTTTTTAAATTCTTGAGAATTATGTAACTTACAGAATAAATAAGGTACTCTGCTCAATGTTGAAGGAATGCAAAGATACTTAAGACTTCATTATACTCATATATACCCTTCAGAAAAATTGTAGTCATTAGAAAAGATAAAGAAATGCACATATATAACTATAGGGAAAACAATATAAGAACTCTCAATGCAGTACCCCAGATCTGTTTGCTATCAGAAATGGGAGAGTCTTATTGAGACCTGGTAGATCCAGGAAAGGTATTTTGATGGAGTTAACATTTAGTGTGAGTTTTGGAAGTTAGTTAACTTTTGACAGGAATAGGAGTGAAGAACAAGTTAACAGTGACTCTAAGTTTCTGAAGATGAGTAACCAGGAAGATGTAGGTAACTCTTTTGGAAATAAGGAATAAAAGAGAGCTTTGAATTTTTTAGTAAAACCATAAAATTCAAGTAAAAATATCCAGCAGGTAAGGAGAACAGTCAGAAATGGAAACCAATGAAGAAGCAGCATAAAAGTGATGTTTGAAGCTGTAGAAATGAATAGCTTCTGAGGAAGACTGCAATAAACACACAAGCAGAGGAAGAAGGTTGAATATTGATGATACTCTTAGCCCACAAGGTAGAGTCCCTTGAGCAAGCAAACTAACTATCAGCAAGAGAAAAGGATTAAAAGATCTAAACCCACACATTCTGAAGTCCCCTTCTGACTTCACATAATAAAAAGCAACTGCCTAAAGAGAAACTCCAAAGGACAACAGACTTTCTGTTGATGAATCTTCTCATGCAAACCTGAGTTTGTTCCTGGAACAAAATTCATTGCATAGTGATGCCATTGCTCCTTTCCCACCACCTCAAAGTCACTTTTTGGCTTTTAAAATGTGGAGGGCCAGGCGCAGTTGTTCACATCTGTAATCCTAGCACTTTGGGAGGCCTAAGCAGGCAGATTGCCTGAGCTCAGGAGTTCAGAACCAGCCTGGGCAACACGGTGAAACCCTGTCTCTACTAAAAAATATATAATATAAATTAGCTGGGTGTGGCAGCATGCGCCTGTGGTCCCAGCTACTCGGGAGGCTGAGGCAGGAGAATTGCTGGAATCTGGGAGGCAGAGGTTGCAGTGAGCCGAGATCACACCACTGCGCTCCAGCCTGGGTGACAGAGCAAGACTCCATCTCCAAAAAGAAAAATAACAAATAAATAAATAAATAAATAAAATAAAATTTAGAGGACACTTTAACACTTTAATTATTAGAGTGAATAACACCCTTAAGCATGCATAATAATATTTTGAGAAGTTAATTTTTAAATAAATATTTTATCACATTTAGAATATAAATTGCAAATGATTGCAGCATGTTTAATATTTTCACTGTAATCAAGGTCATATCTCCAACTTAATGGATGTCTTAAAAAAATTACTTAGTTTGCTAACTTTGTGAAACACTGTCTAATACAGAAAGCAAAATGAATTTGAATAACTGAGTTTATATTATTATGTATCTTAGTTTTCTATTGCTGAGTAATAAATTACCACAATTTAACAACTTAAAACAATACCCATTTATCATCTCACTGTTTCTGTGTGTTAGGAATTTGATTATACCTTCGCTGGGTCCTTTGCTCAGGGTGTCACAAGACTGTAATCAAGGTGTTGGCTGGGGCTGAGGTTTCATGAGACTGAAGGTTCTCTTCCAAGCTTATGTAATCGTTGGCAGACTTCATTTTCTTGCACATTCAGAGCTCATGGTAGCTTGCTGCTTCAAAGCTAGCAAGAGTGTCTCTTTACCTTCAGGGAGGGCCTCAGTCCCTCTTTTAAGGGGGCCATCTGATTAGGTTTTGGCTGTTAAGAATAAGCTCTTTGTTGATTAACTCAAAGTCAACTAATTAGGGACCTTAATGATGTCTGCAATATCATTTTACTGTTGTCATGTAACATAAATAATCATAGGAATGATACCCTATCTGACCTCAGAAGCCAGGCTATAGCACGCAATACAATCCTTTGTCTATTTTTTAAAAAATCTATTTTAGCTTGACATAATTTCAAGCTTACAAAAACATTGCAAAAAAAAAAAAAGTACTATGAAATGGTTTATACCTCTCAACCAGATTCTCCAAATATTCCTTTCCTCTCCCTGGCTCTCTCTTTTACTCTTTATCTCTTCCTTCCATACATTTTTCTCTCACACACATACATATATACATATAGCTTTTTTTCTTACGCATTTGAGAGTAAGTTGGAGACACATTACATACCCCTAAATACTTCAGTGTGTATTTCCTACAAACATTCACTTACATAACCAGACTTCAGTCATCAAAACCAGTAGATTAACACTGACACAACACTATTATCTAATCTCCGGATTTTATTCAGCTTTTGCAAATTTATATATATACATATATATGTGTATATATATGTATATATACACATAAATATATATACTTTTTTTTTTTGACGGAGTCTCGCTCTGTCTGCCCAAGCTGGAGTGCAGTGGCGCAGTCTCGGCTCACTGCAAGCTCCGCCCCCTGGGTTCACGCCATTCTCCTGCCTCAGCCCCAGTAGAGTAGCTGGGACCACAGGCGCCCGCCACCACGCCCCGCTAATTTTTTTTTTTTCTTTTTTTTTTTTTTTTGTATTTTTAGTAGAGACGGGGTTTCACCACGTTAGCCAGGATAGTCTCGATCTCCTGACCTGGTGATCCGCCCACCTCGGCCTCCCAAAGTGCTGGGATTACAGGCGTGAGCCACTGCGCCCGGCCGCAAATTAATATTCTTTACGACAAAAAAATCCAGGATTATTTTTGCATTTAGTCATTGTATCTTCTGAGTTTTAAAAACTCTGGAAAAGTTCCTGAGTCTTCATTTCATGACACTGACATTTTTGAGGAGTTCAGGCCGGTTATTTTATAGAATCTCCTTCAGTCTGGTTTTGACTAATGTTTCTCATTATTAGATTCAGGTGATGCACTTTTCACAGGATTCATATTTAAAACTTTACTCAAGGATCCTTTGTAGAATCATAGTTCTTTTATAGAGTTATTATCATCATGGTCTCCAATGGAAAAATATTCCCCCAAATATTCTTAAAAACAGTTCACAAACACAATGTATGAGATTATATCTGACCCTTTCTTGACACAGAGCCACTCAGAAAAGATCCCTTCTCAAATAGTTACAGATTCTTGGACTCCCAATATTGCTAACTGGTAAATTACAATGTTTCTTATCTGAAGGAGTGTCTAAAAATTTGTTGAGAGTAGTAAACCCTCTAGGAATACCATCAACCTCTCACCTAACAATCAAAGGGGAAAACTGAGATAAAGAATAGAGGAGTCTCCGCTAGGGAAGAATTATTTTCAGTATTCCCATTTTAGACTTTCTGTGCCCCAATATTTTTATCAATAAATAATGATAAAAATACTTCCTTCATGAGACTTTTCTGAGAATGACACAAGAAAGCAACTATATATTCCTTGGTATGTAGTATATATTCAAGGAATGTTTATTTTTTTCCCTGTAGTCTCCCTCTAGCTGCTGTACTGATATGAAAGCGTGGCATTGAATGCTTTACTGGTTAAAATGTAATTCACTTTGTCTACTTAGGTTTACTTTTGTTGTTTAACAAATATATTGGAAAAGCTTTAATAACATCTAAGAATTAAGTTTAAATTAGAAGATAACTGTGCTTCGATGTCTTATAGTAACTCTGCAGATGCTGTACAAGCTAAAAACTTCAAAAGTGTTTGAAAAACAGAAGGTAGGAGAAGGAAAACAAACATGTGAAATTGTAGAGGAAGACCCATTTGCCATTCAGATGATTTACTGGTGTCCAGAGAGCAGAATATTCTGTGTATCAGGAGTCTCTGCATATGTCATAATTTATAAATTCAGCAGACATGAAATTACAACAGAAATAGTGGTAAGTTATTTAAAATTTAACTTTCACTTTTACAGTTATTAAAAGAAAGCTATTATCATAGATTTGACTACTACTTGGTATGGTTTCCATGAAGTGTGCAGTATGTGGCTAGTAATACAATTCACAGGATTTTAAATTATTATTGTTACTTACTATAACATATTAATAAATGATTTGGCCTAAAAGGCCAAAACAATTCTCTATCAAAACTTGGTATTTTTTTCAATGTCAAAACAAGCTTAGTATTTAAGTTAATCTTGTTACAAATTAAACATGTTACAATTTTCTCACTTTTCTCTTTGATGTTACATGAGTTGCATCTACCTGGCCGAAATAAGTCAACTCTACAACATGATGTTTTGAACTATGTATATATTGTGGAATATACACCTATATATTCTTCTATATATACTAATAAAATGTATAGGTTTTATACATATAGTTATTGATTTATTTTTGTATAAAAATCAAATTAATGCAGGCTTTGTTCTATACTTTTATTAATTTTTAAGTTTATCTGATTTGTATTTTCTCATCAACTGTTTGACATAAATAATTATTTCTCAGCTACAATAAGGTTATTTTTAATGATTTTCTATGTAGCAACATTTTTATGGGGTAGATCTAATTATGGGGCAACCTTACCTAATCTTAATTTTTAAATCAACGAAATACTCTGCTTATTCAAAAGAATAATGATTTTATGGGATAAATTAATTCTAAATGAAGCCACCTATAAACAACTGTCCTTCTCTACCTTGCCCCTTTTACCAGAATATAAAGATTATTTACTATAGGCCTGGGTATAAGTGTTTTTACCTCAACAGCTAAAATTAATATCACCCTTTTATTGTATAGTAGCTGAAAGCTAAGGCTTTGAGTCAGATAAACCTAGGTTTTAATTCTGGCTTTCCCATTAAATATCTGTGTGACTCTGAACAAGCCATAAGTCAGTAGTAGAATGTAGCTATGATTCAGTTTCATCACATGTACAATTCCCTGTGTAAATAAAATGGGAAAATGGAAAATAAAAATAAACTTGGAATATAAATACCAATTTCATAGGGTTCTTGTGATGATTATATAAAGACATTATAATAGTGTCCTTACTGTAGTAAGCACTCAATAATTGGTAACTGTTTTGTCACCACCAGAGGTTTTTCTGTAGTTTTAAAATAATTATGACAATAATTTTGGTGATATTCCCATAATGACATTTTTGTAAGTAATTGTTTTCAATCTTAAAAATGCTCATTTTTACATTATAAGGCAAATATGTGTTATAAAATCAGTTCTAATTAAATCATTTAATGCATTTTATGCATTCATAAAGTATTTAGTTTTAAAACTTTTTTAGTTTAATAAAGGTTTTTAGGTCACCTTTTTATTCCTATGTAAATTATTATATGTTTTTTATCAAGTAATTCTGATCTGCTAATTAGATTAAACAAAAGCCAAGGTAATGAAATAAACAACCAAAAATATGGAATTTTGTTTGGAAAATTTTTAGTGAATTAATGCAAAGTTAAAATGCAATGAAAGTTTTTTATACTAAAAGGCTTTAAACAAGTAATTTTTTCATACACACACAAACATACACACTACACACACATATACACGTTTGTGTGTGTATATGAAAAAAGTTTAATTTCTTTCATTGGAATAACCATAATCAACTTCTCCTTTTATTTTATCATATATCAAATTGTAATATATAAATTGTAATTTATACTATATCTTAAAGTATATTTATTATATAAAAACTTTATCTTCACTGAGGTATTTTTCTTTTAATTCTGAAGTTTAAAAATTTACATTTTTTGTGATTGCCATTGAATATTCCATATAATTAACTATTTGATTTAGTATGAGATACTTCTCAACTTTCCTGTAAATAGTATTGAACTTATTAATTTGAAAAAAACTGTGTGAATGATTCCTAAAAAGTTATCAGGTATTTTAATGTGATTATTTATTATGACTTAGATTAAATTAAAACGATGATTATTAGTGTGACTTAAATTAAATTTAAACTTGATTTTTTTAAGTCATTAGAGGTACGACTTCAGTATGATGTTGAAGATATTATTACCCCTGAACCAGAAACAAGTCCTCCGTTTCCAGATCTCTCAGCCCAGCTTCCTTCTTCAAGGAGTCTTTCTGGGAGCACTAACACTGTTGCTAGTGAAGGAGTAACAAAGGACAGTATTCCATGCCTCAAGTAAGAGTTTCTACCAAATTTTCAAACAATTTTAGATATTAATCATATGTCTTTGAAACTGTGACAAATGAAATTAATTTTCTCTTATTATCAAGCTATTGTCAGGTGATCTACAATTCTTCAGGGGTTACTCTGGTCTTTTCTTTGAACATCTGTGAAGAGGGCATAATATTTTCACCCTTCATTCACTTATTTATATATTTCCTTCCCAGAAGGACTCTAAAGAAAACATGGCTTTCACAGAATAGGAAGTTTGGCAGGGCAGAAACTTGGTGACATGCATGATATTTCCAATTGAAAAAGTATGTTTATGGGGTGTGATGGCTCACGCCTGTATTCCCAACACTTTGGGAGGCTGAGGTGGGAGGAATGCTTGAGACTAGGAGTTTGAGAGCAGCCTGGGCAACATAGCAAGACCTTGTATCTACAAAAAATTTAAAAATTAACTGGGTGTGATGGTACACACCTGTAGCTCCAGCTTCTAGGGAGGCTGAGGCGGGACAATCACTTTAGCTCAGGAGTTTAAAGTTGCAGTGAGCTATGGTCTTGCCACTGCACTCCAGCCTGGGTGACAGTAAGACCCTGTCTCCAAAAAAATAATAATGATAATTTTTTAAAGAAGTATGTTTATGTAATTTCTTTAGCTTTCTTGGAATCAAAAAGAAAACCAAGTTTACTATCTACTACAAGAGTTCTATATTAGAAAAAAGGATTTCTCTCATGATTGCTAGTATATTTCATAATCTTTCTTTTTTAAAACTATTTATTAATAAGCTAAACAAAGATTTGCATCATGTTCAATAAAACCTAAAGTTAACAAAGCCCATAGTAATATTTTATGATTTTAGTAATAGAGTATAAATTACTACTTACTGCTTCTATACCATCAAATCAAATATTTCTAGTGTTAGCTGGCTGGAGAATTAAACCTAAGCAGGGAATTTCTTTGAGCTGCATATCTACATTTGCCACTCAAAAAACTTTAGACAGCTAGTTTTCTCATTTCTTACAAATATGCTTATGGAAAATTTAGAGATAAGATTTTAGGAGCAAAATTCATGCAATTAGCAGATGCTATACTTTTGTAATCATTGATTGTCCTCTCAAAATTTTCTTTTGATGTACATAAAAAGAAGGAAATATGAGCAAATATTACTGGGAGGAAAATCTACAAAGAGAAAACATCATCATAAAATTTTAGCTAGTGGATATATTTTTTGAAAGTAGCATCAGTAGTATTTGATAATTGGTTTGTTGGGAAGTATGAGAGAAAGATATTAGTCAGCTTTAAAGGAAAATAGGAATTCAGATGCTAGATATGTTGAACTCTTACACTGGAGGGTAGGTTAATGGTCATTTGTTTTATTGTTATGCTTTATAACTGATATATATGTAACATATATTACATTAGAAAAATAATTACATAATAAAAATAACTTAAAATAATATTCTCAAAAGAAAAAATTGAAATGATAAAGGCCAGTTGAAGTTGTGGACCTAACTGGCTGAAAAGCCACATAAAGAAATAACTAAGTAATCATAAGGGACTCAGCATATTTTGAGAAAACTAGAAGGCACCATCCATCTGCATGCTGCCTGCAATGCCTGGTGTTGTATATTTCTGTAGCATGATTCTATGTAAATTCTCAAGATAAGTTTGACCATGTTTATTTAAGCTGTATATAATAGGATTGTTTTTGTTCTTAAAGTGTGAAGACACGGCCAGTGCGAATGCCTCCAGGATATCAAGCAGAACTTGTTATTCAATTGGTGTGGGTAGATGGTGAACCTCCACAACAGATTACTAGTCTTGCTGTAAGCTCAGCATATGGAATGTAAGTAATTAAACTTTTTTATGATATGTATTATTTAGCTAATATGTTTGATTTTTTAGATGTTCCTTGCTTAAGTCCTAAAAATGAAAAGAAGCCCTTACCTGGATTTTTATTAGATTAAACAATATATAAGAAAAATAATTTAAATTTACATTATGGTTTTTTGTTCTTTCTTGAAGTCAAACCTGTGATAGTGTTCCCAATTTTGATGTTAGTAGGAGATTGTTAGGATTTTATTACACTTAAACTGTGTTGTTTGTTTTTATATTGTCTTTTTTTCTCTTTATATTTCATTTTGGATACTTTCTTTTGACTTATCCTTTAGAGTTCACTAACTCCCTCTTCAACTGTGTCTGATCTGATGGTAGATCCACCTATGGAGTTCAATTTCAGCTATTTTATTTTTCAGTTCTAGACCTTACATTTGATTATTTTAAAACATCCTGTTCTCTTCCTAAATTATCACTCTATTCTTTATTTCTTTGAACATATTGAATGTATGACTTTAAAATGTGTTACTTTAAATATGTGTTTGATACTTCCATATTTGGTATCTAGTCTATTACATTTCTTAGTTTTGGGTCACATTATATTATGTTCATGTATGCCAGTTTGTATGATTTTTTTATTAGTTGTTCCTGGTTTTTTTTTTAATTGAGAAATGAACATTATAATTTGAGGTTCTAGATGATACTTTCCTCCAGAAAGTATCTACATTTCCTCTGGCAGTCTAGGTTAAAAAACTATTGAAGGGTCAGAACAACATAATTCAAGCAGACATCAGGTCTTTGAAAGTTGGATTTTATTCCCATTAAAGCCTAATTTAATTTCAGTTAATCCTTATTTCTAGGTTGTAGCCCTCCACAGAGGTTGTGTCAAACTATACTCCCACCACCAATGTTTAGAATGTCTACTTTCCTACAACCTTTCTAACTACAATGTATAATCAAACTTTCCATCCTGGTCAGTTTGTTAAGTAAAGAGTAGTATGTTATTATAATATCAGTAAAATTTTTGTATATCTTAAGTGAAATTGAACATCTTTTCCTGTTTTGTGACATTCTGTTTCTATTCTTTGTCCATTTGTCTGTAAAGTTGTTGGCCTTCATAGAGATTTGTGAAAACTGTTTGCATATTAGGGAAGTTAGCTTTCTCTATAGTGTAATTTGCAATGATCTTCCCTGCTTTTGTTTGCTTTATGACTTTGTTTAAGATGGTTCTTACTTTAAAGAATTTTTTGCAATTCTATTTTTTGTTATCTTTTATGGCTCTGAATTTGTGTCTTATTTAAAAAGTCCTTCCTCACTTCAAGATAATAATAAAAATTAATAAAAACAAAAAAATTATGTTCTCTCTAATATGCTTTTTTTCTTTTATATGTTTAAATCTTTGATCTGTCTGGAATTTTTTTAAGTATAAGATATGAAGTAAGTATTAAACTATATTTTTTCCTGATGGCTAAGAATTGTGCCAATACCGTTTCCTGAATACTTCATCTTTCTATGCTTATTTGGAATCAACTTTTATCAAATAATACATTACCTTATATATTTCACTTTTATTTCTGTACTTCCTAAGCTGAGTCTTATAAGCTCCAAGAGAATGCCTTGAAACCATCAGTAAGGAGTCCATGGAAAAAAGTCTTATCTTTGAGTACCTGGAATTTTCTTCAGGGGGATGTGGAGGATATATGTGAACATAGAGTATTGGGTGCTTGCTTCTTTACTAGAATATTATTTGATGGGAAAGCTGGCAACCACAGTTGATGGATGATGGGAGAGAAGGAATGGACTGTGGGATAGCCTACTGTTTCATTATTTGATACGGTAAGAATATATGATTATTCTCTAGCCCAAGTAATTACTGTGAAAGATAGTTGAGCTCAAGCCATCTTCTGAGTTCACTTCTCTAGAGTTTGACCTGTAAAGACAAGGGGACTTCAGAATTCAGAGACTATAAAGATGTGTCACCTGGTTCAGAAGCTGAAGTTTGTTAGAATAGATCAGATAAAAAAACACATTTCCCTTATAAGGGAACTGTGGAGGTGAAAGTTATTACAGAGCTTCTGAATAACTGACACTTGTATGAAAATGACAGCTTGGACATCTATCTCATAGAGAGCCTCCACTGCAAAAATCCTAGTTCATGTGGCTACTAGAGTAAATTCCACCAAGTTTTAAAGAAATAAATTTTACAAGTATTACTTTAAATGTTCCTGAGAATTATTAAAGATGAAATCATGTTCATCTCATTTTATGGCCAACATAACTCGATGCAAAAACTTGAAAAGGGTATTACAAAAAGAGAAAGTTGTAAGTCTATATCATTTATGAACATGGATTTAAAATCCCAACCAAAATATAGATAAATCTAGCAATTAAAAAAGATAACATATCATAACCAAGTTTGGTTTACACCAGGAATTCAAAGTTTTTAAACATTTTAAATTAATCAGTGTAGTTCATCACATTAGCAAATAAACTAGAAAAACCATATGATGGTCTGGTCAGGAATGCAAAAAACAAAAACATCTGATAAAATTAAATATCCATTTATGACTTCAAAAGAAACTAATAGCTAAAATGGAAGGAATTTTTCTTAATCTGATACATTTTAGCAAATATGCTCTATGGTGAAATGTTAGAGACTTTGTCTTTGAGGAAAAAATAAGAGAAGTTTCTTAGTCCATTTGGGCTGCTTAACAAAATATCTTACAAATTGGTAATTTGTAACAACTAAGATTTATTGCTCACAGTTCTGGAGGCTAGAAAGTCCAAAATCAAGGTCTCAGGAGATTCAGTGTCTGTCTCTCTGCTTTGCTCTCTGCTTCAAATATAGCACCTTCTAGCTTTGTTTGCGCTTGGCAGAAGGAGTGAACAAACTCCCTCAGAATTCTTTTATGAGAAAATGAATTCCATTCATAATGGCGGAATCCTCCCAAAGACCCAGTCACCTTCCCAAGGCCCCAACTCTTAATACCATCACCTTGAGGATTAGATGGTCTGAATTTGGGGAAACACAAAAATTCAGACCATAACATTGTGACCTTGCTTCCCAAAATTTATGTCTTTCTCATATGCAAAATACATTCTTTTGATTCTAATAGCTCCAAAAGTCTTAAAACATTTTAGCATTAACTCAAAAGTTTAACGTTCAAAGTCTCATCAAAATATCATCTGGGCTGGATGTAGTGGCTTACGCCTGTAATCCCAGCACTTCGGGAGGCCAAGGCAGGTGGATCACCTGAGGTCAGGAGTTTGAGACCAGCCTGGCAAACATGGTGAAACCCCATCTCTACTAACATTGTAAAAATTAGCTGTGCGTGATGGCACGTGCCTGTAATCCCAGCTACTAGGGATACTGAGAATCGCTTGAATCCAGGAGGCAGAGGTTGCAGTGAGTTGAGATTGTGCCATTGCACTCCAGCCTGGGTGACAGAGTGAAACTCCATCTCAAAAAAAAAAGTCACCTGAATCATATATGGGTGAGACTCAAGGTATGATTCATTCTGAGGCAGGTTTCTTCTCCAACTGTTACCTTATGAAATCAAACAAGTTATATGTTTCCAAAATACAATGGTGGGATCAGCACAAGGTAAACATACCCATTCTAAAAGGAAGAATTAGGAAAAAAGAAAGGGATAATAGCTCCAAAGTAAGTCCCATAAAACTCCCATCTCCCTGGGACAGAGCACCTGGGGGAAGGGGTGGCTGTGGGCACAGTTTCAGCAGACTTAAATGTTCCTGCCTGCTGGCTCTGAAGAGAGAAGTGGATCTCCCAGCACAGCGCTTGAGCTCTGCTAAGGGACAGACTGCCTCCTCAAGTGGATCCTTGACCCATGTGCCTCCTGACTGGGAGACACTAGCTGGCATGGGTCGACAGACACCTCATACAGGAGAGCTCTGGCTGGCATCTGGAGGGTGTCCCTCTGGGACAAATCTTCCAAGGAAGGAACAGGCAGCAATCTTTGTTGTTCTGCTGCCTCCACTAGTGATACCCAGGCAAACAGGTTCTGGAGTGGACCACCCAGCAAACTCCAGCAGACCTGCAGCAGAGGGACCTGACTATTAAAAGGAAAACTAACAAACAGAAAAAAATAGCATCAACATCAACAAAAAGGACATTCACACAAAAACCCCATCTGAAGGTCACCAACATCAAAGACCAAAAGTAGATGAATCCACGAACATGAGGAAAAACCAGCACAAAACGATGAAAATTCCAAAAACAAGAAAGCCTCTTCTCCTCTAAATCATCACAATTCCTCACCAGCAAGGGAACAAAACTGAATGGAGAATGAGTTTGACGAATTGACAGAAGTAGGCTTCAGAAGGCAGGTAATAACAAACTCCTCTGAGCTAAAGGAGCATGTTCTAACCCAATGCAGGGAAGCTAAGAACCTTGAGAAAAGGTTAGAGGAACAGCTAAGTAAGATAACCAGTTTAGAGAAGAAGATAAATGACCTGATGGAGCTGAAAAATACAGCACGTGAAGCATACACAAGTATAAATAGCCAAATTGATCAAGTAGAAGAAAGGATATCAGAGATTGAAGATCAACTTAATGAAATAAAGCGTGAAGAAAGGATTAGAGCAAAAAGAATGAAAAGGAATGAACAAAGCCTCCAAGAAATATGGGACTATGTGAAAAGACCAAACCTATGTTTGATTGGTGTACCTGAAAGTAACAGGGAGAAGGGAACAAAGCTGGGAAACACTCTTCAGGATATTATCCAGGAGAACTTCCCCAACCTAGCAAGACAGGCAACATTCAAATTCAGGAAATACAGAGAATATCACAAAGATACTCCTTGAGAGAGAAACCACAAGACACATACTTGTCAGATTCACCAAGGTTGAAATGAAGGAAAACATGTTAAGGGCAGCCAGAGAGAAAGGTCAGGTTACCCACAAGGGAAAGCCCATCAGACTAACAGAGGATCTCTCTGCAGAAACCTTACAAGCCAGAAGAGAGTAGGGGCCAATATTCAACACTCTTAAAGAAAAGAATTTTCAACTCAGAATTTCATATCTAGCCAAACTAAGCTTCATAAGCAAAGGAGAAATAAAATCCTTTACAGACAAGCAAATGCTGAGAGATTTTGTCCCCACCAGGCCTGCCTTACAAGAGCTCCTGAGGAAAGCTGAGGCAGATTCTTCTCCAACTGTGAGCTTATGAAATCAAACAAGTTATATGTTTCCAAAATACAATGGTGACATCAGCACAAAGTAAACATACCCATTCTAAAGGAAGAATTAGGAAAAAAGAAAGGGGAAATAACTCCAAAGTAAGTCCCATAAAACTCCCATGGAGTTTTGGAAAGAAAAAACCGGTACTAGCCACTGCAAAAACATACCAAATTGTAAAGACCATCGACACTAAGAAGAAACTGCCATCAACTAACAGGCAAAATAACCAGCTAGCGTCATAATGACAGGATCAAATTTACACATAACAATATTAACCTTAAATGTAAATGGGCTAAATGCCCCAATTAAAAGACACAGACTGGCAAATTGGATAAAAAGTCAAGACCCATTGGTGTGCTATATTCAGGAGACCCATTGTATGTGCAAAGACACACATAGGCTCAAAATAAAGGGATGGAGGAATGTTTACCAAGCTAATGGAAAGCACAAAAAAAAAAAAAAAAAGATTGCAATCTTAGTCTCTGATAAAACAGACCTTAAACAACCAAAGATCAAAAAAGACAAACAAGGGCATTACATAATAGTAAAGGGATCAATGTAGCAAGAAGAGCTAACTATATATATGCACCCAATACAGAAGTACCCAGATTCATAAAGCAAGTTCTTAGAGACAGACAAAGAAACTCAGACTCCCACACAATAATAGGGAGACTTTTACACCCCACTGTCAATATTAGACAAATCAACAAGACAGAAAATTAATAAGGATATTCTGGACTTGAACTCAGCTCTGGAACAAGTGGACCTAATAAACATCTACAGAACTCTCCACCCCACATCAATGAATATACATTCTTCTCAGCACCACAATGCACTTATTCTAAAATTGACCACATAATTGGAAGTAAAACACTCCTCAGCAAGTGCAAAAGAACGGAAATCATAATAAACAGTCTCTCAGACCACAGTGCAATCAAGTTAGAACTCAAGATTAAGAAACTCACTCAAAACCATGCAACTACATGGAAACTGAACAACCTTTTCCTAAATGACTACTGGGTAAGTAATGAAATTAACACAGAAATAAATAAGCTCTTTGAAACCAATGAGAACAGACACAACGTACCAGAATCTCTGGGACACAGCTAAAGCAGTGTTTAGAGGGACATTTACAGCACTAAATGCTTACAAGAGAAAGCAGGAAAGATCTAAAATTGACACCCTAATATCACAATAAAAAGAGCTAGAAAAGCAAGAGCAAAAATATTCAAAAGCTAGCAGAAGAAAAGAAATAACTAAAATCAGAGCAGAACTGAAGGTGATAGAGACATGGAAAACCCTTCAGAAAATCAATGAATCCAGGAGCTGGTTTTTTGAAAAGATTAACAAAATAAATAGACCACTAGCCAGATGAATAAAGAAGAAAAGATAGAAGAATCAAACAGGAACAATAAAAAATGATAAAGGGGATATCACCTCTAATCCCACAGAAATACAAGCTACCATCAGAGAATACTATAAACTAGTATTTCTAGTTTATAATAAACTAGAAAATCTAGAAGAAATGGATAAATTCCTGGACTCATATACCCTCGCAAGACTAAACCAGGAAAAAGTCAAATCCCTGAACAGACCAATAACAAGTTCTAAAATTGAGGCAGTAATTAATAGCCTACCAACCAAAAAATGTCCAGGAGCAGGTGGATTCACAGCCGAATTCTACCAGAGGTACAAAGAGGAGCTGGTACCATTTCTTCTGAAACTATTCAAAACAATAGAAAAAGAGGGATTCCTCCTTAACTCATTTTATGTGGCCAGCATCACCCTGATACCAAAACCTGGCAGAGACACAACAAAAAAAGAAAATGTCAGACCAATATCCCTGATGAACATCGATGCGAAAATCCTCAATAAAATACGGGCAAACCGAATCCAGCAGGACATCAAAAAGCTTATCCACCACGATCAAGTTGGCCTCATACCTGGGATGCAAGGTTGCTTCAACATGTGCAAATCAATAAACGTAATCCATCACATAAACAGAACCAATGACAACCACTTGATTATCTCAATAGATGTAGAAAAGACCTTTGATAAAATTCAACAGCCCTTCAGGCTAAAAACTCTCAATAAACTAGTAATTGATGGAACGTATCTCAAAATAATAAGAGCTATTTATGAGAAACCCACAGCCAATATCATACTCAATAGGCACAAGCTGGGAGCATTCCCTTTGAAAACTGACACAAGATAAGGATGCGGTCTCTCACCACTCCTGTTCAACATTAATATTGGAAGTTCTGGCCAGGGCAATCAGGCAAGAGAAAGAAATAAAGGGTATTCAAATAAAAAGGGAGGAAGTCAAATTGTCTCTGTTTGCAGATGACATGATTGTATATTTAGAAAACCCTATCGTCTCAGCCCCAAATCTCCTTAAGCTGATAAGCAACTTCAACAAAGTGGCAGGATACAAAATCAGTGTGCAAAAATCACTACAATTCCTATACAACAACAACAGACAAAGAGAGTGAACTCTCATTCACAGTTGCTACAAAGAGAATAAAATACCTAGGAGTACCACTTAGAAGGGATGTGAAGGACCTCTTCAAGGAGAACTACAAACCACTGCCCAAGGAAATAAGAGAGGACACAAACAGATGGAAAAACATTCCGTGCTCATAGATTCAATGCTATCCCCATCAAGCTACCATTGACTTTCTTCACAAAATTATAAAAAAGTACTTTAAATTTCATATGGAACCAAAAGAGAGCCCGTATAGTTAAGATAATCCTAAGCAAAAAGAACAAAGCTGGAGGCATCATGCTACCTGACTTCGAACTATACTACAAGGCTACAGTAACCAAAACAGCATAATACTGGTACTAAAACAGATATATAGACCAATGGAACAGAACCAAGTTCTCAGAAATAACACCACACATTTACAACCATCTGATCTTTGACAAACCTGACGAAAACAAGCAATGGTGAAAGAATTCCCTATTTAATAAATGGTGTTGGGAAATCTGGCTAGCCATATGCAGAAAACTGAAATTAGACCCTTTCCTTAGACCTTATACAAAAATTAGCACAAGATGGATTAAAGACTTAAACATAAGACCTGAAACTATAAAAGCCCTAGAAGAAAACCTAGGCAATACCATTCAGGACATAGGCATGGGCAAAGACTTCATGACTAAAACATCAAAAGCAATGGTAACAAAGCCAAAATTGACAAATGGGATCTAATTAAACTAAAGAGCTTCTGCACAGCAAAAGAAACTATCATCGGAGTGACCAGGCAACCTACACACTGGGTGAAAATTTTTGCAATCTATCCATCTGACAAAGGTCTAATATCTAGAATCTACAAAGAACTTTAACAAATTTACAAGAAAAAAACAACCCCATCAAAAAGTTGGCAAACGATAGGAACAGACACTTCTCAAAAGAAGACATTTATGCAGCCAACAAATATATGAAAAAAAGCTCATCATCACTGGTCATTAGAGAAATGCAAATTAAAATCACAATGAGATATTATCTCACGCCAGTTAGAATGGTGATTATTAAAAAGTCAGGAAACAACAGATGCTGGAGAGGATTTGGAGAAATAGGAACGCTTTTACACTGTTCGTGGCAGTGTAAATTTGTTCAACCATTGGGGAAGACAGTTGTGGCGATTCCTCAAGGATCTCAAACCAGAAATATTATTTGACCCAGCAATCCCATTACTGGATATATACCCAAAGGATTATAAATCATTCTGCTATAAAGACACATGCACACATGTGTTTATTGCAGCACTGTCCACGATAGCAAAGACTTGTAACCAACCGAAATGCCCTTCAATGATAGACTGGATAAAGAAAATGTGGCACATATACACCATGGAATACTATGCAGCCATGAAAATGTATGAGTTCATGTCCTTTGCAGGGACATGGATGAAGCTGGAATCCATTCTCAGCAAACTAACACAGGAACAGAAAACCAAACACTGCATGTCCCCACTCATAAGTGGGAGCTGAGCAATGAGAACACATGGACACAGGGAGGGGAACATCACACACTGGGACCTGTCAGGGGATGGGGTGCTAGGGGAGGGGTAGCATTAGGAGAAGTGCCTAATGTAGATGATGGGTTGATGGGTGCAGCAAACCCCCATGGCACATGTATACCTAGGTAACAAACCTGCACATTCTGTACATGTATCCCAGAACTTAAAGTATAATAAAAAAAGAATAACTGAAAGATATATATTGATTATTACCATATTATATACTTGAATACACATTAAAGCGTAATAGATTGATTTCATCTAATGAATGCAAACAAAGCATTTATATATAATAAAAAGGGAAAAGCAGAGAGAGAAAAACCACGGCCACTTTCTAAACAATGAATTTTCTATTTTTTTTTCATTGTGAGATGCTAATGAGTTAGCAGCCGGCCAAAAGACCAGTCAGGGTATTTGCTTTTGGACAGCTGTATGAATCATCAACTAAACTGATTTCATTTATTTCTAGCTTTTCCAAAAGGCTTTAGCTGTTCAGTTTGTCGCACATATATGGAAGACATTTTCTGTATTATTTATGTCATTATCATTTAGTAGTATGCCTGTCTGAATTACACCAGGTCTTTATCATTCTTCTTCTTATAATTTCTCAATTTCACCCTTTTGGTCAAACTCAACCCCCAAGCTGACTGACCATGAGGGCCTCAGTCTCTTTATAGAACAGATTATTAGTTATATAGTACCTCATTACAATGCCTATGTAGCAGCATTTCAGTATCTGGACATTAGACATTAAGGGGGGAAAAAAGCATAAGACAATCATGATTATTATAAGAAATATGTGGAAACCACTTGATGTTCTAAATCCTGGTTGGCCGAAGTCTAACTAGGAAAATAATTTTCAAGGATTAATGTGGTTAACTTTAGTTAACTCAGTGGCCTTACTATTCCATTCACTATTAATTGTTTACTCTTTTGAAGAACATATCAAGGGGCAACTGTTAAGTCAGAAACTGTGAAGGGTCTAAGATGTTTCCCTCTTAGAAAATAGTAAATTTGTCTGCGACAGTATTATATGTGTGTGTGTGTATATATATATATGTATATATATATATAGACAGAAAATAGTCCTCTGGGTCAGAACAAAGATAGTTTATTAGTGACAGCAAAAGCAGCAGCTTAGTGCAAGATCTTGCATCAGTTCTCTGAGCCCACAGGGGAACATGGTGAGTGGCAGATGGTACTTGCATGTGCAACTGGGTGCATAATAAAAGAGGAACTCCAAGTTTTAAAAACTCACATCTTATGTAGGTCTGCTGGTGAACTGCCCATTTATCTTTACTCTGGAACATAAGCAAATATTCTCTGGGGAAGAAGAGAGGTTTTTTATCTCTACTACCCTGAAATGTCTCAAAGTAGGGAGATGCCCCTAAGCTTTACTATTCTGGGATGTCTCTTTATACAAACATAACTGTAAATGCCTTCACTAAAAGGACTGTGCAGTACAGTGAAGTACTAATGGAGAATGGTCTACCAATTGTAATGTGACCAGTTGTACATTATTATTTAGGATTAATTGTGCCAGTTTGTTTATATTAGCCTGTGAGATCCTTAGACTTAAGTTGTGTTACTTGCCATTTGAGTCTATGTTTAGAAGTAAATTGCATATCTCACGTTTCAGTTTAAGAATTTTTTGCTGGAATAGAATTCTTGTAAGAACCTTTGAAATTCAGTCTTGTTCCCCTTTGGATATGTTGTGATATTGGGCTTTTGATAAAATATGAGTAGTCACTCATATTGAGGGTTTTGCTCTGAACTTGGAAAGATAATATAACAAATTTAAGAACTGAAAACTGGTCTTACTCTTTCAGTGTATGTTTCCTAAGAAGAAGAGCTTTTTTTTTTTTTTTTTACATCATAAGCATAGTGTATTTTTTAAATTAAGAAATTCAACATTGATTCAGGACTATTTTCTACTTCACATACCATATTAAATTTCTAGATATGTCCCAATAATGTCATTTATATTGTCTATTCACAGAACAGAATCAAATCCAGGATCTGGCATTGCTTTTAGTTTTCATTTCTTCTTAGTCTCCTTTAATCGGGGGCAGTTCTTCAGCATTTTTTTTTTAGATGGTGTCTCGCTCTATTGCCCAGACTGGAGTACAGTGGCACGATCTCAGCTAACTGCAACCTTCACCTCCTGGGTTCAGGCAATTCTCATGCCTCAGCCTCCTGAGTAGCTAGGATTACAGGCATGCACCACCACACCCAGCTAATTTTTGTATTTTTAGTAGAGATGGTGTTTTGCCACGTTGACCAGGCTGGCCTTGAACTCCTGACCTCATGTGATCCGCCCACCTAGGCCTCCCAAAGTGCTGAGATTACAGGCGTGAGCCACTGTGCCTGACCCAGCATTTATTTTTTAACCTTCATATTTTTAGAGTACAGCCAATTATATTGTTAACTGTACCTCAGCTGAGTTTGTCTGATATTTCCTCATGATGAGAGTAAATTAAGCATTTTGGCAGGAATACCACAGAAACAAGGTAATGTCTTCTCAGTTTATCTTATCAGAAGGTACATGATCATGGATTGTCCTAATTTTAGTGGTGCTAATTTTGATTGCTTGTTAAGGTGATATCTACCAGGTTTCTCCACTATAAAGTTGCTGTTTCCCTTCATAGATAATAGTTTGTGGGGAGATACTTGAAAGTTTTTAAACTTCTTACTCATCAAACTTTCACCCATTACATTTAGCATCCATTGGTTATTCTCTGTTACCCTTCTATATTTATAAGTTAGATTCTACTATTAAGAGACCATAACTCCCTATCCTATATAAACATTTATTTACTTGTTTACTATATAAGTATGAAATCTTAGATTTGCATTTTATTCAGTGAGTTAAGATCTGTTTCTATCATTTGTGCCTGTGATGCTCTAATTCTTCCAGATTTGACCATATGGAACCCCATCAAAATGGCTTCTATGTCCTTTTGATATGTTCCCATCGTTTTTTAGCAGTTTGTTATTTTCCAGTACAATGTGATGTTCAATATGTATCTTGTATATTCTTTAGTCTACCCCTGGAATCAGCTATCTTAGTCTTCTTTTACTGGAGAATGTTATTTAGAAAACAATGTCTGGGCACAATAGATGCTCATTTCTATTGTTGTCATTGCCTCTAGCCCCTATCAGTATACAAAGCTAAGAAAAAACAAACATTGAACACTTTTTGATATATATGAGATACAATTTTAAAGGATATATAGAGGTTATAATTTTGAAGTAGCTTATCAATTTATTCTTTTATATTCTTGCTTTTGGATTCTTCTAAGAAATCTTTTTATCATGAATGTCTTGTGAATTCAGTCAAATCCTTTTACTGCATCAATTAAAACTGTATTAGTCCATTCTCAAACTACTCTAAAGACATGTCTGAGATTGGGTAATTTATGAAGAAAAGAGGTTTAATTTACTCACAGTTCTGCAGGCTGTGCTGGAAGCAAAGCTGGGAGGCCTCAGGAAACTTACAATCATGGTGGAAGGTGAAGGGGAAGCAAGCACATCTTACTATGGTGGAACAGGAGATATTTGTCCATTTTAAAATTTTCTTCCTGTGATTGATTTCTAGTTTTATACTATTGTGATCAGGAAAGGTACTTGATATGATTTCAATCAGCTAAGATTTGGTCTAACATGTTATCTGTTCTGAAGAATGTCTCACATGTGCTGGAGAAGAATGTGTATTCTTCTGCTGTTGAATGGAATATTCTGTATGTGTCCGTTAGATCCATCTGCACTAACATATAGTTCAGGTCCAATTTTCTTTACTGATTTTTTGTCTAGATAATGTATCTATTGTTGAAAGTGAGAGTGTTGAAATGCCCTACTTTTATTGAATTGCCATTTGTATCTCCCTTCAGTTGTGTTAATATTTGCTTTACATATTTAGGTATTCTGATATTGGGCACATATGTATTCATAGTTGTTATATCTTCTTGATGGATTGACTTCTTTATTGTTATTTAATGATCCTCTTTGTCTTATGACAGTTTTTAACTTAAAGTCTGTTCTCTTCTGATATAATTAAGCTACCTCTGCTCTATTTTAGCTTCCATTTTTATAGAAATTCATGTTCATCCCTTCACTTTCAGCCTATGTGTAAGGCTAAAGTTAATCTCTTGTAGGCAGCATATAGTTGGATCTTAATTTTTGATCCATTCAGCCACTCTTCCTTTTGTTTGGAGAATTTAAACAATTTACATTTAAAGTAATGATTAGTAGGTACAAATTTACAATGCTATTTTTATTTTCTGGTTATTTTTAATGGATTCTTTGTCCTTCCTTTCTTGCTTGCTGTGTTCCCTTGTGCTTTGTTGATTTTCTGTAGTGATATGCTTTGATTCTTTTCTCTTTATCTCATATATACCTACTATGTTTCTGTTTTACAACTACGATGAGGCTTACGTGGAACATCTTATACTTAATAACAGTCTATTTAGAAATGATAACAACTCAACTTCAATTTCATTCAAAATCTCTACCATTTTACCTGTCACTCTCCTCCAGCACACATTTTATATTTATATATATTTTATATTGTGAATTTATTAACAAAACAACAAAATATTATACCTATAGTTACTTTTAATACTTTTGTCTTTTGACCTTTATACTGGACTTAAAGTTGATTTATACACCATCATTTCAGTACTACAATATTGTGAATTTAACTATAAATTTACATTTATAAGTATATTTTATGCTTTTATATGATTTCATGTTACTAATTAACACCCTTCCATGTTAGCTTAATTTAAGATCCCTTTAGCATTTCTTGTAAGACAGGTCTAGTGGTGATGAACTTCATCATCACTTTTGTTTGTCTGTGAAAGTATCTCTCCTTCATTTCTGAAGAACAATTTTGCTAGATACGGTATTGTTGGATGGCAGTTTTTTTTTTTTCTTTTTGCGCTTTGAATAAATCATCCCATTCTCTGGTGCTGTATGGTTTCTGCTGAGAAGTGTTCTGTTAGCACTATTACTGTTCCCTTGTATGTAACAAGTTACTATTCTCTTACTGCTTTCAATTTTTTTTAATGTTTGGCAGTTTGATTATAATGTGTCTGTGTGAAGCTGTCTTTTGGATTGAATCTGTTTGGGAACCTTTGAACTTCATAAATCTGGATATGTATATTTCTCTCAAGGTTATCAAAGTTTTCAACCATTATTTCTTTAAATGTACTCTCTGTCCCTTTCTCTCTCTTCCTCTGAATCTCCCATAATGTGACTATTGGTTCTCTTGATAGTGTTCAATAAGGGTTTCTTTTCTGTTTTTTGTTATTTTCAGTGTTCTATAGGGTTTCTTTCCTCTTTTCTATTCTTATCTATTTTTTGTACTCTGATAGTATAATTTCAAAAGATCTGTCTTCAAGTTTTCAAATTTTTTCTTTTGCTTGATCAAGTCGGCTAGCAGAGCTCTCTACTGCATTTTTTCTTTCATTCATTATTCTTTTAGCTCCAGAATTTCTACTTGGTTCTTTTTTGTGATTTCTTTTTGTTGAACTTTAAATTTTATTCACGTATTATTTTCCATTGTTTCTTGAGTTGTCTGTTTACTCTTGTGTCTTGCTCAGCTTGAGCTTCCTTAAAAGAATTAAAATAATTATTTTGAATTTGAAAAATAATTATTTTGAATCATTTTTCAGATAACTAATAGATCTCCATTTTGTTGAGGTCAGTTCCTGGATAGCTATTGTGTTCCTTTGCCAGTGTTATCATTCCCTGCTTTTTTGTGTTTTTAGTGAACTTGCATTGATGTTTGTATATTTGAGGCAACAAGTCACCTGATCTGGTCTTTTTGAAGTAGATACAGTGGGGAAATGCTTTCAGCTGTGAATGGCTACAAGGGCACCAGCTGGATGGGGTGCAACATCTCCTGTTTTAAGAAAGACACAGGTATGGTCTCAATGCAGTTTAATCAGCCGAAGTCAGTGTTGGCAAATACTGCAGGTATCCATGGCAGAAGCCAAAGTTGCAGATGTCTGTAGTAACTGTAGTGGTTAAGGCTGTTAAGGTCCTCAGTATTGAAAGCTGTTGAGTTTCTCCTATTCAACTTTTATCTCACATAGGGAAGTTCCAGCCAAAGTGATTCCTCTTGGCACTAAGTCTGATGTGCTGGCACACATGCAGCTGTGGTGGTGTTGGGATCCTGGCCACTGGTGCACAGTCAGCAATGCTGGTTCTGGGTGCAGGTGCCCAGAGCAGCCATGAAGCCAGGGCTCTGTGGTCAGAGGCACATGTAACTGAGGTGGTGCCTGGGGCACAGGTGCATTTTTTTTATTTGGCATTGACACCAATGTCTGAGGCCTGGGCATATACAGATTGCCTATAGAGTGAGAACCTGTGTCATCTTTGGGGAATGCCATGATGACTTGGTCCCAGGGGTGATGAGACATAGTAATAGCATGGAACATAGCAGTAACGTGGGTCCAGCGACAACAGGGTGTATCAGAGGCCTGTCAGGTCACGACAGGGGCAGGATGCAGAGCAGTAGTCTGAAGCCCCAGTGAAAGTAGGTAAAAGCCCTGACTTATAACCCAAGGTAAGAGAGCAGTCAGTTATTTACTTATGAATATACAACTGCTTCATCATCATTTGTTGAAGATTATATATGTTTCTTAGCACTTTTGTCAAATATTATTTGACCATGTATGTGTGAGTTTATTTCCAGGTACTCATCTGTTCTACCAATATCTAGGTCTGTCTTTATACCAATACCGGCCTGTCTTGATTCCTGTACTTTTAATTAAGTCTTAAGATTATATAGTCTGTATCCTCAAACTTTCTTATTTTTCAGAACAATTTGGGCTATTCTAGGTCTATTATACTTCTCTATATATTTTACAATCATGTTTTAAGTTTCTTAAGTAAAAAAGAAGTCTGCTGGGATTTTGTTTGAAATTGCTGTGAATTTGTAGATCAGTTTGGGGAAAAGTAACAATATTGAATTTTCTAACCATTAAGCAAGGTACATCTTTCAATTTACTTAAGTCTTCTTTAATTTCTCTCAACAATAATTATAATTTTTAATGTACAGATTTTCCACATTTGCTGTTAAATTTATTCATATGTATTTCATAATTGCAATGCCACTATGAATGTTGATTCAAGAGTTCCATAAATTTTAGTTCAGTGAAGGAGGTTCACAGTGTCGCTTACAAATTCTATATCCCTACTGATTTGTTTTCTCTGATTATTCTATCAGTTATTAAAAGAGGAATGTTTGCATACTACACCTTAATTGTAGATTTGTCTATTTTCCCTTTCAGTTCTATTGGTTTTCATGAATTTTGAAGCTTTATTATAAGATGAATCCACATTTAGGATTGCTATATCTTCTTAAGAAATTGATTCCTTAATCATTCTCCCTATATATCTCTCAAAATTTCCTTTTTCTGAAATAGACTTTGTCTATATTAGTATAGTCGTTTCAGCATTTTTTAAATTAGTGTTTTCATTGTAAATGTTTTCCATCATTTCGCTTTATATTTAAAGTGGATTTGTTGTAGGCACCATATAGTTGGGTCTTACTTTTTATCCACTCAGGCAATCTCTGCCCATAATTGGAGTGTTTCAGTCATTTACATTAATATACTTATCTATGTGATTGGGCTTAAGCCAAACATTTTCTAATTTGTTTTTCTCTTTGTCCCCCCACTCCCCCTTTTTTTTTTCTTCTTTTTCTCTGCCTTCTTCTCAGGGAAAGATTGCATATCTTTTAATGATTCTATTTTAACTTCATTATTGATTTATTAGATATACTTCTTTTAGTTTTTTGTTCTCAGGCTTACAATATGTATCTTTGAATTATCAAATAAGTAGATAAATAAATGGAATGATACCACTTTTCATATATTTTAATAACTTTACAACAGCATGCTTCTATTTATCCTCCTGTTTTTTGCATTATTGTCATAAATTTACTTCCATATGTTATAAACCGCATAATACATTGTTATTAATTTTACTTTAGTCAATTATCCTTTAAAGAAATGAGAAAAGTCTTTAATATTAATTTTCATATTTAACATTTTTGTTGCTCTTCATTATATAGTGGAGATCCATATTTCCATCTGGAATCATTTTTTTCTGTCTAAGATTTCCCTTATTATTTTTGTAACCCATTTATGTGAGTGATGAATTCCTTCAGCTTTTGTTTTTTTGCAAAAATTCTTTTCCACTGCTTGAAAGATGTATTTGCTGGGTATACAATTTTAGGTTGACATTATTTTTATTTCTTACTGCAAAGATGCCACTCCATCATCTTTTGGTTTGTATAGTTTCATCTAATTTTTTTAATGATTTTATCATTTTAATTTTTACATGTAATAAATTTTTTTATCTGCCAGCTTTTAACATTTTCTCTTTGTTATTAGTTGTTTTCAGCAATATGATTATGATGCCTTTTTGTTTTTCTTCATTCTTATTCTGCTTGGGATCTTTAAGTTTCTATTATCTGCAGGCTTATTACTGTCTTCAAATTTTGTCTGTCATTTATATAAATTGGCTATCATTTTTTCAAATATGTTTTCTTTTGTTCTTCCTTTATGAAACTCCA
Source organism: Homo sapiens (assembly GCF_000001405.40). Lineage (NCBI taxonomy): Eukaryota > Metazoa > Chordata > Mammalia > Primates > Hominidae > Homo > Homo sapiens. The sequence continues at coordinate 121,276,967 of NC_000003.12, forward strand.
ATTATGGAGTTTTGTTTTTTAAAGTTTTAAAGATCTCATTTCATTTTAGGTAATTTCTGTTATTTCTTCAAGTTTACTGTCTTAGTCTGGGATGTTGTAAACAAATATACTATAAATTGGGTAGCTTATAAACAACAGAAATTTATTTCTCACAATTCTGAAGGCTGAGAAGTCTAATATCAAGGCACCAGTAGATTTGATGTCTGGTGAGAACCTGTTCCTTATAGATAGTACCTTCTAAATTCATCGTCACATAATGGAAGGGGTGAGGCAGCTCTCTAGGGCCTCTTTTATAAGGGCTCTAATTTTATCCATGAGAGCTCCATTTTCATGACCTAGTCACCTTCCAAAGTTCCCACCTCTTAATACAATCATCTTGGGGGTTAAGTTTTAACGTATTAATTTTGGGAAAACACAAACATTCAGAGGATAGCATTCTCTATTCTTTTCTACTATAATGTCTAATGTGCAGATAATGTTTAAATTTCATATACATTTATATCTCTAAGGCTTTTTTATGTCTTCCATTCCTTCCTTTGTCACATTTGTATTTTCCTCAACCTTCTTGATTATCTGTAATATGCTTTGAAAAGCACTTTCATTATTTTCCATCTGCTAGTTTTATCATCTCTTTCATTTCTGGATATGTTTCTATTGAGCTATTTTTTCCTCTGGTTATCATATTTTCCTGATTCTTTATATGCCTGCTACTTTTTATATACTAGATATTGTGAATTTTACGTTTTTGGTGGTATTTTGTGCCTTTTTTTAGTAGTGTTCAACTTTTTCCTGGAATGAAATTAAGTTACTTGGAATCTGTAGCTAATTTGTCTCACTGCTGAAGTGACACTCCTATATCTGCTGTTCCATGTATTAGGAGAGCTCTGCAGTTTCATTGGTAGTAGCATAAAATATTCTTAGCCTTGTGTGAGCTCTGGGAATTGTTCTGCCTTATCTTTTTGGTGGCTCTTTTATAGGTCTTGAGTAGCTTCTGCACATGGATGCACAGATTAGTACACAGCCGAAGTCTCAAGGACATCTTTCTGCAAATCTCTGGTATTCTCTCTCTGTGCAGTTTATTTTGCCTTATTAGTTGTAGCTGTTTTTGTAGTCTCAGTCTCTCATCTCTGCCTCCTCAACTAAATGAGACCATCAATCTCTCTTTGAGTTCTAGTTTCCTGTGCCCAAGCCTGGGAACTATCTTCAGTCACTAACACAGAACATTTGTGAAATGTATTACCTTGGTTGCTATCCTTCTCTCATCTTATTCTATGTTGCCTGTTGACCAATATGTGAAAACTGTTGTTTAATATATTTTTGCCCACTTTTCTAGTAATTTAAAATAGGAGATTAAATCTTTTCTCTTTACCAACTTTCTGACAACTACTGCCTGACTTCCCCAGCCCTAAGCTATAACTTCTCAGTATTCTTATTTTTAATTCCAAGACAAAAATAATTATTTATGGTATATAGAATGTCATGCATCCTAGTTGCCTACATTTTTTCAGTCATTATTGCATTTAGAAACTCTATCGTGTCTGTAAGCAGAAGTAATTTGCTATATTTTAACATAAAAAGTTTAAGGATACTAATTTGTTATAACTGGTAACATGTATAATATTGCATTTATTTATAATATTAAGATCAATTCTTTTTGCATGGAAAAATTTCAATGTACTTTAAAAATAATTTTCTGACTTGATACTCATAAAAGCTCTGTGAACCAGATAAATGTAGAAGTGTAATTATCATTATAAAGAAGCTAAGGCCAAGCAAGATTCATTAATTTTTCTCAAAGTCACATATCCTGTAAGTGATAGAGATGAGAATTAAACCCAGATCTGACCAGTATAACAATACTTTTTTTCAGTTTCCAAAGTTTGTCTTACTGGAAGATGTAGAGCTCTATGTGAATTAGCAAAACATCTAGTATGGGTAGAAGTGTTGTTGTTGTTGTGTTTTAACTTGTGTAGTGAAGTGGAAAGAACCATTTTAAGAGTAAGCAGATGGTTTGTAAACAAGATTCAATCTAAATAATACAACATGGAACGTACATAAAACAAGCAAAACAACATTCATATAACTAATGTTTAATAGTTTATGAAGCAAAAAGTACCGACAGAATTGTTCAGCTAGAGGACATATTGTAAATGGAGAAAAATAAGAGTTAATGTATGCCTAATGGTTAAGATAATCAAAATGCCTACTTAGAAGAGCTGTCTTTTTTAAATTTCTCAGGAGATTTAGTTAAGTAATTAATCAAATGGTCTCTTTATCTTTTGAAAGGGGCACAAAATAAAGAGCACAAAAGTAAGAAACATTTAACTTTTTGTATCTCCTCATTTCTAATATAGTGTCAATGCCTTTGATATATGAAGTTAATTTTTATTTTTCTCTCTTTCAGAAGATAATTAATTTGGAGTCTAGTAGTTATAATTTTATTTGAAAAAGGCATCTAATTACATACGTAAGCATCTTTAGCTAGTGACATTTCTTAACCTATCTCCCCCTTGCATAGCAAAAAGGTTTTGTGTGATTCTTCTGTGAAAACATAAGGCCTAGTTTAAAGAGCGGATTGGGTAATCACGACTTACATGATAAAACTGCTGGCAAAATATAATTGCCGATCATCCTTTTTTTGTGGTAAATTGTATGCCTATTATACGAAGACAGTTTATCCATCATAAAGGCAAGGCATCCTTCTTGACTTTACACAAATCACTGCCCAACTTCCCCAACCCTAAGACATTACTTTTCAATAATCCTATGATTGATTTGAAGATAAAAATAATCATGCTTGTTGTGATACATTCTAGTTGTATTTTTTTTCTCTCTTAGAGTTGCATTTGGGAACTGCAATGGGTTGGCTGTGGTGGATTTTATACAGAAGACAGTACTGTTAAGCATGGGGACCATTGACCTATATAGATCAAGTGACTTATACCAGCGACAACCACGGTCTCCTCGAAAAAACAAACAGTTCATTGCAGGTAGGAGATAAAACAAGATGAGTTATGAACTTGATTTGGTCATCTGTGTTCTTATTTTTAGATTTCTTGTCTTTCTTCTCTGATACTATTCAAATGCATGGCAAAATAAAATCAACATAATTTACAAAATCATGTAAGTAAAATAAATTGGGCAGAAACATTGTGAGAATCTTTGAAAGGGTCAGGGGTGTGTATGTTTAAACTTCAATTTGCTATTGAAGTTAGGAAGCATCTCAACTTTCTTAGGTTTAATTCCTAAGAAATAACAGAAAATAAGAAGCTATTAAATGTAAAAATGCTATGAAAATTAGGGCTCTGTAGTTGAAAAAAACTGCTTGCAATGGTTGTGTCAAACAGGTTAACTTTCTTCTAAAATATCTGGTCCCTTTAAAGAGATAATTTTAGGTCATTTACTACTTTTAATTTTTTAAATTAATTCCATATTGTAGCTGACTCCTTTCCTTGTTGGATGATGACCTTCCTGAAGGTATTTTCACAATTCAATAAACATTTTTCATTAACATTTTTAAAGTACTATGACAGATGGCATTTTTCTTGGAAGGATCAATAAATCGATGTATTTAACTATAAAAGAAAATAAACTTAAGGTAATTAGGATTTAATGCCAAACTTTGATATGCCAATTATCCAAAGTTTTACTGAAATTTTAGTATATATCCAAATAGTTGGCTTTATAAACACTGCCAAAGTTTTGCATATTTTCTGTCCATTGACAGTCCAGTTGGTAAAAGAAAATTAGGCCAAAAGGTTGCAGATGAAAATGCTTCTATAATATTAAGTGTTATTTTAGACAGTCCTTTAAAGTCTTCTACTTTGGGCCAGATATGGTGGCTTATGCTTGTAATTCCAGTACTTTGGGAGGCCGAGGTGAGAGGATTTCTTGAGGCCAGTAATTCAAGACCAGTCTACGTAACATAGTGTGACCCCATCTCTAATAATAATAATAATAATAACTTTTTAAATTTTTTAATAAGTAAATAAAATAAAATTTCTACATTGTATTATTTAAAATAATTTATTGAATATTGATGATATTACTAAATATGACCATAGGAAAATATAATAAAAAATAAAAAAGGTACATGATGGTAGGTGTTATTTTCCAAGTGGCAGATATGTCAAATTTAACATCCAAATGTGATAATAAATGAATTTCCTTTTTGGACTAATGAAACTTGTTATACTGAAACTCTTCTTGTTAACCTTTCTTTTGCAAAACTCAATGATTTCTGAATTACCAGTTTAGACCCTTTTGAGGGGCACAAAATTTCTCTTTCAGAAACCAAGGGTTTTTAGTGAGGGATCTCAACTTTTAGCAATATTTTAGGAGAGCTAGAAATTTCAGTTTCTGGAG